>NC_000002.12:31186877-31339627 GCF_000001405.40 Homo sapiens
GCAATTTTTAGTTGTTTTATATAGATTGGGATTCTCTATGAGACTTCATTTGATAAAAGGATTGCAGCATCAAATGTTTGGAAACCACAGGTATGGAGGAAAACTTTAACAAACAATACATATAAGATTCTGATTTATCCTCTCCAGCTACATTAAACAAAATTCCAGATGGGCAAGGCAGGTAAATTGTGACTTTAAATCAGGAGTGTCACTAACATAGGGGGCTCATATTCTCTGTTTTAGTGACATTGCTCAAATATCAGACCCCAGATTTCCAGTATGTTTCTCGCCCTGTTCCTAAGTGTCTTGCAGGTTAGGAGAGCATGGCCTCCAGAGCCCCGCACTCACACCATTAGCCCTTGCCAGACTCACATCTGGGTCAGCCCAAAGGAAGAAGCCACAGAAACCAAGCGTGTGTCCCAGGCCCTCCCCCTTCTTATCAGTCCCACCTTCTCTCCAGGTGACCACTCATGGGCCCCTTCTCCCTGCGCTCCCCTCCAATGACCCTCCCCAAGGCCCCCAGAGCTTGTCATTGTCATGCTCTGCACCCCCCACCCCCTGTCCCACTCCCAACTCTGACATTCTACTCTGCTATATCCCATTTTCTCAGGGATGAAAGATTAAAGTTGCTTTCCCTACAACTAATCAATGAGCGTCCAAGAACAGAGAATCATTTTACAGGAGCCTTCTAGACAATGGCTCCACTCATTTGTCTAAAAACTTGAGGACTTTAATAGAAAGTGGCAGTTTGGGCAATAGGTAGCCTTAAATCACAGTTTCTAAGCAGCCTCAAGCAGGTGCAAACCTATACTTTATAAAATGAGAAGCTCCACTTCGTCCCCTGCTCTTCCTCACCCCCCACCACACCTGTTCAACTAACCTTTTCAAAGAATTTGGTGAAGAATTCATCCTGCCTTTCATTTTGGTCTTCTATCTCCTATAGGAAGAGACACACAGAAAGACACAATTATTCACCTGTATAAACGGACTTTCGTGCACACCCTAATGTCTCATGGCTTCCAGGTTTCTGAAATCCATGAGCTTGACTTTGCATCGTCTTTAATTTTACACCATAGCATTTACAAACAGCCCTTGCTTCTCCAATTTTTCCTGACTCTGGGGAAATCACAAACAGTGAAATGGACAAAAGAAACACCAGATAAAGAGAAGCAGAAGAATGTAGAGATGTAGCTCATACTGCCGGGGTTCTGGACCCTCAGTGACAAGGACCTGATCAGAAGGGTAGTTCTCTACTCTTTGTTGGTGCAAAAACAGCAAAGCCCAGGTACTGTTAGGATACAACGGGTAATGTTTGCCATAGAACAGGGTCTGTAAGGATCCGCATATCTCCTCCCCTGACTCCTTAACTTGAAGGGAGAAACCCAACACCCTGGCTTGGAAAGCAGTCCCAGCCATATGGAATTCCACCAGACTACTCACCTTTGAGAAGACGACACCAGAATTGCTGCCAATTTCACTGAGAACAAACAAACAAGAACAAACTCAGAGTTTCCTCTTGGGAATTTTTTGGCCAATCTTCCCCTTCTCCTGGGAGCTCGTCTTCCACGTTCCTTCACTGAGGCACCACAAGGGCCCACCCAGCTCTCACACCTCACCTCCTGCTTCCCCTTGAACTGTACATTCCAGCCATGTGCACAGCACACTGCTTGTAATTCCCTGCACCCTCATCTAACTAGTCTTAAAAGATGAGCATGAGACTTAGTGGTCTGACGTGGCAGTGGGGCCTGCCTGAGATCAAATCAAACTACCTGTGGCCGAGACATAAAAAACAAACAAACAAAACAAAACAAAAAGCACAAAACCTGGCAGGTAAAACAATCATAGGCAAAATAATATGTTTGGTTGGGATATGTGCACATTAATTCAACTGGATACAGTAGTAGAATGGAAGCCTGCTAGTTCATGACAGCCTCCCTTCATTTGAACAACCCCTATGCATCTTATAATAGTCACCTCCTCCCTGAAGCCACTCCTGCTTCCCCCAGGACCATGGGAGTTGGCTCAAATTCTCCTCCTTGAGGCTCTTGTAACACCCTGTGCATATAAAATGCTTACACTGGATGCACTGGAAGATCAATAACTGCTCATATATCTGTGTTCTTTCCAGACCTTGAACTTCAGGAGGGCAGAAGCTATGTGTGTTTTATCTTTTTCTCTCTAATGTCTAGCATGGTGTTAGTTTGTGAGTGGAAGGAGGGTGGGAAGGAACGGGAGGGATGTTCTCCATGCAGAAAGTCACCTGGTCTCCTGCTCTCCCCATCTCCCTTTTGTCTCAGCAGCAGAGATCCTGGTTTCTGCCATTTCCAACCTTGCCCTCCTTGCCTGTCCTCGTCCAAGTGGTCCCCACCCTCTAGGAGAGACCTTGTGTCCTTACTAAAAGATGTGCTTCCTGGAGAAGACCCTGAGGACGAACTCTGACTTCTGGTGGGCCTCCAATATGCAGGGCACGATGAGGTACGTCCCTGGTTCCAGACACAGCTCCTGACTCACTTCTTTCTCCTTGAGAAACCTATCAGGCTGGCTCAGAGGAGTGTTTCTCTGGAAGAACTCAGGGGGCAGTCTCCTCTGGTCATCATGGTACTGTGGGTAGAGGACAGAAGAACAGCAAGGGAGGTGATGACCCAGGGCTGTGGCCAGGCCTGAGGCCCTCAAAGCTCTGAGCCAGGACTAAGGTGGCCTCTGCTCTGCCAAATCCAATAGGCCCCAGTGGAGGATGAAACAAGTGGGGAGGAAAGGAAAAACCAGAATATGTGTGTGGAGGGCTGCACCTTTGCTGGAACCTATCAGGGGCTACATAAACACGTGTCATTTGATTTGACTTACCTTAAAAACAACACCAGCACTAAATGATGTGAGGAATGTCCCTGTGCCTTCCATTTTATGGCTGAGGGCTCTGAGGCTTAGACGGGTTAGGTCATCTGCCCAGAGTCATCAGCTGGGTACAGTCCCAGCCCGATGGGAATTAAGGACAGCTGAGTTCCAATGCTCCTGTTCTTTACCCTTCCTGATGCTGCCTCCATGTATGTGATATGGCATGACTTATGGACACAGATACAGATGGACCACGACCACCTCCCCACCTACACCACACAGCTACACACAGATAAGCTGGACATTCCGCATCATCTCAGGGAAAACACCCTTGTAAAGGACAAAGAGAACTGGGCAAGAGCTCAGAAGACCAAAATCAGGGCTCTGGTTCCGACATTTCTTGGGTATCTGCTTTATCTGATTCATATTCTCTCTCTCTCTCTCTCTCTCTCTCTCTCTGCCTCCTTTGTTTCTCCATCTCTCCCTATTTTTCTCTCTTGCTTACTCTCCCCTTTGTTCTCACTCAGGGCTATAGAGGGAGAGGAGACCCATACCAGGATCCTCTCTCCAGTTTATACACAACTGCTAACAAAGACATCACCCATCCAAATAAACAGATATTTAGCAAATTCCTCAATGTTTGGGAAATAAAATACATATCCTGATGAGGTAGGCATTTTTTTTATAAGACAATGAGAACTAGGGAATCATCCAATTGCCCTCTTTGCCATGGGCTACTAGGAATCTCAGAGCTAAATTGCATAATGAGCCACGGTAGCTGTCCTGGGTTTAGTTTTCCTGGTAGAAGCAACTGCCTACCTAGCTCTCATCCCTTTGTTATTTTTCAATGGCTTTGAAATTTTGTAGCTGATTTGCAGGTTTCCTCTGTTTACAGTTTTTTATTGTAGGTTGACCCAAATTCTATTTAGAAGTAGGCATGACATAAATAACTTTTTCTTTTTAAATTAATAGGCAAATTTGAGAGTGTTCAGTATTCCTGTGAGAGAAACAACAAACAAAGACCCTGCGTAAAATGGTTTCTCTACAATAATCCTTTTACTTGATTCAATCCAACCTGAGAAAATTAAGCATTTTACTCCTGTTTTCTTTGGGAAATAAAATAATAGCTGCCTCCCTCAGAAGCTGGGATTCCTTGGGCCTTCCTACCTGACCCCTCCTGGCGGCCACAGCAGCTGAAGCACGGAGGTGTTCTTGTCCCTCTGCTCATGCTCCTGCCACATGTCCCCAAGCCTTTGTCCTTTCTCCCTAGGGAGGTGGGCTGCATGGTCTTTGATGTCCCATATGTTTTAAATCTATTTTATTTTGGGTTTCATAACCCAGTCATGATTGTAATTTATCATCTTTCCTATGCTGTGATGGCCGTCAATATTAGCCCTGGGTATTTGTGTAGGAATTTAATAAATTCTAAAATGTATTGGTTCTCTGCTAGGCTCTAAGACTTTCCCATAGATGCATGAGGATCTCTTGGGGGTCTTTGGATAAAAAAGATTAACAGATGCACTTTACTTTCATATACACACAGGCAGCGGGCAGACATTCTCATCATCTGGCATTATCATAGCTTCTTACGCAGTAGAAGCCTGCTCCAGTCTAACTAAATCCTGTGGAGGCTTGGCCACATGTGATGTCACCCCAAACTAGGGCCACCCGGTCAAGTGCAGAACTCACCTTGTTCATCTAAAAAACAAAAACAAAAACAGAAAAAAAAAAAAAAAGAGGAGAGAGAGATCTCATTAAGCAGGGAATCTGGCTCTTTCATAAACCGAAACCCGAATAGAAGCTGATATACAAGGCTCTACCCAGAAGCCGTGTCCCCTCCCACAAGACCTGCTGTTCTATCAGTGACATTTTAATCTATCATTGGAAATTCTGGAAAAGAGGGAGGGAAAGAATGCTTGGCTTTTGGGGAGAGGAAAAGGAAGCCAATATTGATCATACTATGTGCCAGGCACAATAACAAGCACTACCACATAATCCTCTTTTATTCTACCCTTTGCCTAAATATCATTGTAGAAACTGATGGCCTAGTGCAAGAAGGTGACTTGTTCTAAATCACATGTTCCTAAAGGACAGAGCCTGGATTTGAAAACCCAGGTCTGTGAACAGAGACAGATGGTGAAGAAGACAGGAAACAGGAAGACATGGTAACTGTTGGTGACCCCCACGCTTGGTCCCATGCCCCTGTGGTTCAGAGGTCCACCTACCCTATACAGGTAGAAGCCAATGGCGAGGAGAGGCTTCCGCTTGCGGCACCTGTGCCTGGGCTTCTGGAGCAGGGACACCAGCACGCTGCAGGGCCTCAGGGATCTCCTGCCCTCCTCGGGCCTCCAGACAGACAGCAGGAACTGCGGGTTCTTCCAAAATGTGTCTGGAGCAGAACACAGCAAGGTGAGAATGGGCCCCGGATCCCCATGCATCCTGCTTGCCGAACCACTAAGAGGTGAACAGTCTGAGGACGCCTCTGCCAGGATTGACACCCTGAGGCCCACTGGGACAGAGTCGGGGTCCCTTCAACCTTGGATTTACGCCCTCCCACCTTGCTCTTCCACCTGGAGGTCTTCTCCAGACACACTGACTGGAGTTGTTCCCACCACTGTAGCCTTTGTCTTGCTCAGTGCCTGGCCCAGGTGTTATACCCCACAAGCATGTGCTACCTGAGTAAGCAATTGTATTAACTCCCTGGGGAGGTGACCATGATCCTAGGGGCCTTTGCATTTTAATAGACGCAAAACCTTACCTTAAGGTCAGCTTCAGACTATGGGGGAAATACTGTGTCAAAAGGGGGACTCCAGAGCTAAGGCCATCCTGGCCTGCTGAGGTCACACCCCACAGGCCTTGCCTTCAAAAGGGATGGCTCACTATCTCCACAGTGGAGGAAGGGACAGGGTCACCAAACCTGTCCCATCTTGGGAGTCCAGACAGGTTTGTCTCCCGTATCTAGTGATCCTGGGAAGCCCTGGGTTTGTGTTTCTCCCAGGCTCCAGGTGAGAAAGACCAGATACAATTTCTATTTCAATCCTGCCTAGTTAGGGGGTGGTTACTTCAGTGTTTTCAGTGGTCTTGTCCTAAAACTAAAAAAGATTCTCCCTTGCCCCTGCTTTTATCATGCCTGTGTGCCTGTGACCCCCGGTGCTGACTGCGACAGGGCAACCCTCTGGGAAGATGCAGCCCCACAGGCTGGCAGCTTGACTGAGAGGACTCTGCCTTGGTGCACATTGGGTCCAAAGGTACCCCATCTTCCCTGTGGTTATAGCCCAGGGCCCCAACACACAGTGAGGCAAGCAGAGCCTCCTCCCCACTCAGCCAATGCAGAATTCGTGCTGCAACCCCCTGTGCAGTCATTCTGACACCCCCGCCCACAACCTCACCCTGAGAGCCCTGCTCCTGTGCACATGCTCACCCTGCAGCAACTGCCTCTGGCCACCAGCTGTGCTCCGCTTCTCCCATCTCCCCTCCCGCATGGTGTACGTCCACTTCTGGGCCGCCTCCTGGCTCAACAGGCCTGGGGTCAGTTTACAGATAACCAGGAGCACGAAATGTGTTTTAAAGTCCTGCAGCGTCATCCTGTGGAGAGAAGAAGGAAAAGCACAAAGAGATGGACCAGATAACGCCTAGTTATCAGGACCCATGGGGAGGGTGAAACGGAGCAGTGGGCATCCCAGCCCTCTCATGGACAAAGACACCAGCTCTTGTGCAGAGCTGAGCTGACGATAGGCACATCAGCTGGGGCTGGCTAGATCCCTGTGAGGGTCCATCGTGGGGGGCTGGAGCTACTGAGAAGCCCCACCCTCTGGCTGGAAGCAGCCGGCCACATGGCTGACCGGGGGAGATGTTCCAGTTTCTGGAATCATGGTGATAGCAGCTGAATTAAGGCATAGCTAACTAGTCATTTGTTTTATCTATAAATGTTCAATAAGAATTACATATCAGTTCTTAATCATTAATTCATGAAGATCTTTGCCCCTACTTGCTAACTTGTGGCCTGCGACACTCTATTTAAGCTGTCTGATGCTCAGTTTACTTAACCATAAAGTGGAAAAAACAGGAATTTGCAGAGCTTGAGTTCAGTGAAAGACCTTCCAAAGGGAGAGGGCGGTGGCAGGCTGTACTGGATGGTTAATGGGAGCAGTCCTTGGAACGAGGGTTGACATTCACAGTAACGGTGGTGAGCAAAAGCAAAGGAGAACTGATGGGTCCATTTCAGACACCTAGAAGCAGCATCAGCTCAGGATGTCTTGGTGGCCTTTCAAAAAATGAGGTGAGCAGCCCCAGAGTGGGTGGCAGTGTTACTCTGCTCTGGAGGGCACTGGTCAGGGGCCTATCCTATGACAAGACTTTGCAGTCTCTTCCTACCTCATGGCCTTTTCAGGACAAAAAAGGCAAAACCTGTTTTGAATACACTGAGCAAGAGAGCAGAGAGGAAGCCAGAGAGGAGGAAACAGCCTGGCTGAGCCCTCGCTGAGCTCCACCCTAGTGGCCTCTACTCTCATCACAAAGACAGTGACCGTTTATTTACAGGCACTGTTTGTCCTGCTAGACCGTGAGCTCCTAAAGGGATGGTGCCTTATTGATCTCTGTACATGAAGTTCCTGGCACCCATAAGGCATCCAATAAATGTCTGCTGGATGGGTTTTCAAATGTAGGCCAGGACATTTGTCCAAGTCCCTAAGTCCAATACCAGAATTCTCCGTCATTGTCTTTCCTCAGAAGCAGAATCTTCTCCTTGGGGCTCAGCAGCTCCCATTTACTTGAACTGAAAATAGAAAAGGGAATGAAAAGCTTGTGGGGAGCATGCTAGAAATTCTTTAGTAAAGGCTCTATAGTGTCATTATTTATTATTATTTTCATACTACCTCAGACAACTAAATTTCCCATTCCATATTATACAGTAGCATGAACATGAATTGATAGCTTACTATGAGCCAAGCACTGGGCTAGATTCTTGACATACATTATTTCATTCAAGGCTAACCACAACTTTGTTGTTTTCATGTTAGAGATTAGGAAACTGAAGTTAAGAGAGATTAGGTCATTTGCTTGAAGTCAAATATCTATTAAACGTCAGAGCTAACATTTGAACTTGCATTTTTCAAAGCTCATCATTTGAACTTCTACTTCTGGCCATGAAGGAGTAAGACTGTCCTGATAGCCTCCTACCATCAAGAAATAAAAATGGGACAAAATATGAGAAACTGTTTTCAGATATTGGACAGCAGGCAACAGGGGTCTGTGATCCCAGGAGGCTGGAAACAAACGAGGTGAGCCCTAACATCACCTAGGCTTTCTTCCTGAAGGTAATTTCCTGGCCAGCGCTACAGGGAGAGGGACTCAAAAAAAGAACATAACAGTCTGGCTGAGTGGAGGAGACAGAATCTGGAGTTTGGGGAGATCCAGACAGCCAGAATTTGCTGGGCAAAGTATCCGAAAGGAGGGGGCTACATGAAAAAAAGGAGTTCCAGGAAACTTCACAGGGGTTCCCTTGCGTCTTTGGCTGAGCTTTAATCTGTGCTTTCTGAAAGCGAAACTCCCTAAGACTGGACCGTAAGCAGGACACAGTGCTGGGAATCTCAGGCATTCCTACCGGACAGAGTTAAAAGACTTTATTTATTTATTCACTTATTTTTGAGACAGACTCTCACTCTGCCACGTACGCTGGAGTGCAGTGGTGCGATCTCAGCTCACTGCAACCTCCGCCTCCCGGGTTCAAGCAATTCTCCTGCCTCAGCCTCCCAAACAGCTGGGATTACAGGCACATGCCACCACACCTGGCTAATTTTTGCAGTATTAGTAGAGACGTGGTTTTACCATGTTGGCCGGGCTGGTCTTGAACTCCTGACCTTAAAAGATCTGCCTTCCTCGACCTCCCAAAGTGCTGGGATTACAGGTGTGAGTCACTATGCCCAGCCAAAAGACTTTATTGAATACATGGAATCTTTACTAGAGATCCCAGAGGGTCTACAATTTAGTAGTGGAATCAAATTATCCCTGAAATAAAGGTTTGTCTTGACCTTCCCTAAAAGTGCTTAAAAACTTCAAAGTATCAAAACAATCCCTAAGTAATGTAACTACCTACTTTAAAAAAAGTCCAATATTCTTTAAAGAAATACAATAAAATTCAGTACTCTGAAACTAAAATTTACAATGTCCAGCATGCAATAAAAAGTTATTAGCCATATGAAGAAGCAGGAAATATGATCCGTGACCTGGAATAAAGAAACAGTCCATAGAAACCACCGTAGAAATGAGAGAGATGATAGAATTAGCAGATAAGGACATTAAAACAGCTATTATAAAAGTGCCGCATATTCTCAAGGATGTAAAGAGAAACACGGACATAAAAAGGGGAGAAATGGAAGATAATCTCAAGTGAAATTTCTAGAATTGAAAACATAATATTTAAAATGAAAAATATACTGGATGGGATTAACAGCAGATTAAACACTACAAAATAAAAGCTCATCATTTTAATATTCACTATACCTCTGGATCCAAGAACTTAAGAAGGTTGCCTAAACTAAGATCACACAGCTAGAAAGTAACAACACTGTAATTGTACCCATCATCTATCTCTAATGTTAGTGCTTGTTCCTCTATGAAAGAAACCGCCACCAGCAACAATATGATGCTAGACTTCTGTAGCATGTTAAAATTTATGTATTTCTTTGGATGACATCTTCCCACATAGATTCAGTTCCTCTAACAACACTGTTTACTAATGTGTAACAAATATAATGCAGCACATTCTATCAGGAGGAATATTCAACTTGTGTTTCTAAGCCTTCATTTTATCAATATAAAAATGATTAAGTGATAATGTGTATATGGACACGTTTGTAGACTCTGAAGACCTGTAAAGGATTAAGTATTATACATCTTCATAATGACAGAATGAAGGACTTTAGGACTTGACCTCCCTTTCTGCCTGTGCCCTACAGCCAGTGTCTAGCCTGCAAAACCCGCATTTCTTTAGGGCTGCCATTAGGCAGAAACAACCTAAATGTAGGCACCTAATCAGAATGCCCAGAGGCTACTATATGTAATCAGAGTGTAGAGTCCAATCCAAATCTGTCTACCTTTGACTCAGCAAACCCAGGTGTGCTGAACCATGCCAGGGAAAGACACTGAACCCAGGCACCAAAGACCTTGGTTGAGTCATGCTGTATGACCTTAGGCAATTCAATTAATCCAAGTTTCTCTATTAGTAAAATGGGGATAAAACTATCTACTTTGTAATAGCGTTGTTTGGGGGATTAAATGAGATAATAAAAATTCAAAAGGTTTAGCACAATGCTGGCAAGCCCTCAAACAAACATCAGCTTTAATTATTATAATGAAAGAGAAAGCAGTCTCTATACCATAAAGCATCTTCTAAATGTGAGGGATT
Organism: Homo sapiens; assembly: GCF_000001405.40. Taxonomy (NCBI): domain Eukaryota; kingdom Metazoa; phylum Chordata; class Mammalia; order Primates; family Hominidae; genus Homo; species Homo sapiens. The sequence goes on from NC_000002.12 coordinate 31,197,115, forward strand.
GAGCTTCCCCGTCTAAAGGCTTCCTGATCCAGCCTAAGACCAAAGAAAGCACACATTTGAATCTGTGTGCAAATGGCAGCCTCCTTTGCCTAACCTACCTGTTCTCACCCCTCCAAGATGTCCCCAAAGTTCACCTGTCACTCCAGTCTCCTTTCCATTCCACCTTTCCCCAGGGGTTCCGTAGCTTGACGAGATATTCAGGTCTATGTTTGCAGGTCACCTGCATAAAATGAGAGGCAGTTTAGGTGACTGGGCTGAGTGCAAACATTCCAGAGATCTGAGTGAGACTCGGGCCTGGAGCTGAGCACTTGCAGTGGAAAATCACAGCCCCAGAGAGAGCTGGTAGAGGAGAAAGTGGCTCTGCTTCTTGTACTTACAAGCTGTGAGACCTAGGGCAAATCAGCTAACCTCTCTGTGTCTCCATTTCCCGATCTGTGAAATAAGGTCAATAGTCATACCTATGATAGTGGGTTGAATGGTGATCTTCCCTCCCCAAAGAGGATATGTACACTTAGAACCTGTGAACATGACCCTATTTGGAAAAAGGATCTTTGCAAATGTAATTAAAGTAAGGACCTGGGTTTGAGATAATTATGGATCAGGGTGGGCCCTAAATCCAAAGACAAGTGTCAGAAGAGAAAGGGAGAGGACACAGAGAAGGCCACGTGAAGATGGAGGCAGAGAATGGAGTTATGTAGACCAAGCCAAGGAACACCTGGAGCCACTGGAAGGTGGAGGAGGCAAGAAGGGATTGGATTCTTCCCCAGAGCCTTCAGAGGGAGCATGTCCCTGCTCACACCTTGATTTCAGACTTCAGGCCTTCGGAACTGAGAAAATTAATTTCTGTTGTTTTCAAGCTCCCCTGCCCCCAACATTTTATGGTAATTTTTTGTGGCAACCCTAGGAAACCAGTAGACCTTGTGAAAGGAAAATAAATCTTGGGACCCCAAAATCACTAATCTAAAGGGAAAAGTCAAGTTGGGAACTGCTTAGGGCAAACCTGCCTCTCATTCTATTCAAAGCCACCCCTCTGCTCACTGAGATAGATGCATATCTGGTTGCCTCCTTTGGAAAGACTAACAGAAACTTGAAAGAATGCAACCATTTGTCTCTTATCTACCTGTGACCTGGAAGCCCCCTCCCTGCTCCGAGTTGTCCTGCCTTTCCAGACGGAATCAAATGTTCATCTTACATATGTTGATTGATGTCTCATGTCTCCCTAAAAAGTATAAAACCAAGCTGTTCTGACCACCTTGGGCACATGTAGTCAGGACCTCCTGAGACTGTGTTACAGGCGCACATCCTCAACATTGGCAAAATAAACTTTCTAAATTAACTGAGACCTGTCTCAGATATTTGGGGTTCACAACCTACTCAGAGTAGTGCTGTGAGGATGAAATGAGTCCACGTTTGTAAGGCAGTTAAACAGCATTTAGCACACAGTAAGTGCTATATAAATTTTGTTAATAAATATGGAAATAAATTAAAAGCTCTGGGCACACAGACCAACATAGTTGTTGGAGATCTAGAAGGAAGAAGTTAAGTGTGAATTGAGTCCAAGAAATTTGAAACAGAGTTAAAGGAAACTGGAGTACTTGGGAAGAGTTGGGCCCTCTAGAGAATATCAGAGGTTCTTTAACTTAAACCTGCTGACTTCTTATCTCCATGCTTTGCTTACACTGCTCCCTCCACCAGAATGCCCTTCTCGCCCCGTGCAAATCTATCCATTACAAGGACCAACCCAACATCACCTCCTCTGTAAGAGACTCTTCTGACTTCTCCCCAGCCCAACTCGATGGAGGTCTTTTCTCTTATCCATGAATTCCTAAAGTCTTTCATCTACACTCTCTTCTCTCAGTTTCAACTTTGCTTCCTCCTCATTTTCAGATATGGTTTGTGACCATACCTGACTGTAAGCCCTTTGTAGGCAGGTCCTGCCTGGTGTGTCTTCCTCTCAATGCCTAGTAGAGCTCAAAAGATGGATAGCAATGGAGACTGTCATAAAGAAGTGTGTCAGAGAGGAGTAGAAATTTGGGAGGGAAGAACCAGATGAAATGGTTGTTCTTGGCAGCCCAGAGTGAAGCAAAGTTCAAGGAAGGGTTGTGAGGTACAGCAGGGTGGGAGGATGGTTGGCTGAGGGCTGCCCCAGGGGATGAGGTTGGGATGATGCATTGGTGGTGGCAAAGCCTGGACCCACCACTTCACCGCAGGAAATAGATGCCGAGGCACAGGGACCCACCAAAGACTTTACCCACTCTCCAGATGGTACAGAAACTAAATCCACCAAGATAAGCTAGGGTCCAGAGAGGGAAGGGCAAGGCTGAGAGGGAAACCGAAGGGCCAACCTCAACCCACCTTCCTGATTCCTGTGAGAGTATAGGCATGGCCTTCCACCAGCCCATTCTCCAGAATCTTCTCCTGCAGAGACAAGAGAGGTCCTGATCAGTCTTCTGTTATGTACAGCTTATTCTTTGAGTCGTGGGAAGGCTGTTTGGCTGGAGCAGGGGTTTATGGAGAGAAGTGTGGGAGATAATCATGGTATGGTACATTGCAGTTTTCAAAGCTCTTTGGTATCCATAGTCTCATTCCACCCTCTCATTAAGTGAGCCATTCTGCAGTGATCATGCCATACCCTCAATTTTACAGAGGACAAACTCTATTTAGAGTTGAGTCAATGTGTGAGGTGACACATTTGGCCATTAGTGAAGGCAGGGCTGAACTGAGGGCTTCCTATTCCTGTTCCATTGTTTCAAGTGTTATCAAATAGGAAGTGGAAAGTGCCTTGCATGTAGCTGGCACTTAATAATTGTTAGCTTCCTTCTCTGCACATCATCTTCTTTTTCCTACTGCCTTGCCTGTCCTGAGGCCCCAACACTGCTGCTCTGGTTTTTTTGTTTTTGCTTTTTAAAACGGAATCTCTCTCTTGTTGCCCAGGCTGGAGTGCAAGGGTGAGATCTCGGGTTACTGCAACCTCCGCCTCCCGGGTTTTAGTGATTCTCCTGCCTCAGCCTCCCAAATAGCTGGGATTACAGGTGACCATCACCATGCCCGGCTAATTTTTGCATTTTTCAGCAGAGACGGGGTTTCACCATATTGGCCAGGCTGATCTCGAACTCCTGACCCCAGGTGATCCGCCCACCTGGGCCTCCCAAAGTGCTGGGATTACAGGTGTGAGCCACCGCACCTGGCCTTGCTGCTCTGGTTTGAACACCAGGACCTCAGCACTAGGAGCTGGGTGGAGGCCCTGAGCCCACACCCAGGTGAGGGTAGTGGTGGTGGATGGAGGGCATGGGTGCAGGAGAAGAGGACATTCTGCCAGTGGCAGCCCAGTCTCACCCCTGAGTGGGTCTGGCAGCCAATGAGGGTTCTGTTGTAGGTGGCTTCGATGAGGATGTCCCAGAGGTTGCCATGGGCTTCTGCCAGGTTGATGGTCATTGTCACCCCTCCAGTGAAGTCTACAAGGGCTTCAGACACCTGTCCTGACTGCAAGTCTTCATAGGAACCAGAGAGCCTGGCCAGGGAAGAAATAAACATGAGAGGAAAAAAGTATCATGAGTATTTATAATTTTATGTGGCCTCGGCATCCACTTTTAAATAGGAGTCTAGTTTTCTCATACCAAAAGCAGAGCTCAGGCAACCCTGACATAGTTTCCAATACCATACCCATCCTGAATGGCTCCAGCTGGTGGTCATAGATAAAACTTAGAGGCATCTCTCCTGCCTAGAAGACTGGGAACCCCTCTTTCCCACCACTTCCTTTAAATGGACCATTCAGACGTTTGCCTGAGAACTTAGTGACTGCCTGTCACTCACAGCGAGATCTCAACTAGTGCCTGCTTGCTTTGAACCCATCAGTTAAAGCTGCTTGCGGGAAACCTGTTGGGACAACACCCTGGACTCAAGAAAAGGCATGTGTCCACCACAGGTCCATTTTCTCTCTTTCCGCCTGGGCCCCCTGACCTCCACATGCATGTGTGCATGTGTGTGTGTGCATGTGCGTGTGTGTGCATGTGTGTATGTGTGGACGTGTGTGTGTGCATGTGCGTATGTGTGTGCGTGCATGTATGTGCATGTGTGTGTGCATGTGTGTGTGTGCATGTGTGTGTCTGTGTTTGCGTGTGTGTGTGCATGTGTATGTGCATGCGTGTGTGTGTGCACTCCATACATGCCAAGTACCCTCTAGGGTCTGTAGGTATGAAAAACTCTTAAACTTTCATATTGCAGTTGTGTCGTTGAAGCTGTGCCCACAATCTGACCCCTGATGATCAGGCCGCCCCACAGGGACCCAAGCAGGTGGATCCCCTGCTGCTACTCCTTCATCCAGACCTCTTAGCTGCTGGGGACAGCAGTGATCAGCTACGTTGAGAGGGTTTCATTCAAAACAAAAGGAAGAGGCATTTAAACTGTAGATTAGATGGGCCAAATGAGAAGTGAAGCCTTTGCTTAGGTTTTCTTTGGGTGTATCTTGCTACTCCTTCCTTCCATCCCAGGAGCAAAGGACAGAATATACACTCAGAGCTCCTATCCCCCTTAATTCTATCCATTAGGGAAAGGCAAAACTCTTGAATGCAGGTTTAGATGAGGTGACCCCTACATAAAAGACTGAATACGTTGTCACTTCTATGTTGGCTAAGACATGCCTCAGGATCTCATTTCATAAACTTTACCTGACTCCACTCCCCTCCCTCAACATTGAGAGAGAGAAAAAGAAGCGATGGGAAGGGGGATATTTCTGCCGGTTTCTTACTTGGCATAGGCCTTTTCCAGAAGTGCTCCCCAGAACAAGTTCTTATAGGTGGAGGAGACAAAGACCAGCTGGCCAGCCTCATTCACAGGCAGACGGTCATCGATCACCACAGGAACCCAGTTCCCATAGTGCCAGAACTGGAGGGAGAGAGTGGCCCCGGGTGAATGAGGACTGCTGCAGATGGTGATCAGCCCAGAAGGTGAAGACATGGTCCTCCAGGAACCCTTTTTCCTATGACTCCCTCTGGGCTGAGGACCCGGGAAGACACTCACCCAGAACCGGAAGATGCCAGCATACTTCTCAGTGAAACTCTGATTCAGGGGAACAACCCGGCTCAGGATGTCCTGGTGCAAGGCCAGAGCTTGCAAAGCAGCCAAGAACCAGCAGTCTCCTAAGTCAGACAGCACACAGCATCTGCATGAATCTACTGGGGACTTTATGACTGCAGAAAATGCCCGGTCCCAATGGCCACCCTCTCTGGGCTTGTAGCCCAGTTTAGGAGAAGGGAATTATATACTGGGAAGGCGGATGATGAGTGAGCAGAGGTGGGGCTGGGAGCATTGGCTGAAATCCAACTTGACCCCAAAACCAGAGCCATGTTCCTGGGCCAGATTTTAGATCTGGACCAGGAATTTTAGATTCCTGAATGCCCTATCCTCAGGAATTGGGACCTCAACGCCACTCACTTTTTCCAAATCTTGCCTCTGAAACTGATTTATGTTCTTCTGGGAAAGCCTCAATCCTTCAGGACTCCATTTCCCTGTCTGTGAAATGGGTATCACTGGACTTGGCTGAGCCTTCCCTGATGACCAATTTACTATTTTAAAAAGGTAGAGTTGAGGATAGATCTGCTTTGATCCTATTCTGGCGAGGCTAATGACTGCTGTCTCAAGAAGGACCCATTGTGGGAACTAAAATAGAGTGAGCACATTTTCCAAATTTAAATTTAGACCTGTAAACTGGTAATGAGGACTATGTGAGGACTTAGGCAGGGTATGGCATTCCCACGCATCCCCAGAGGACCAGTTTTTATAAACTTCACGGCAAAGAACAGAACATGTCCAGGTAGCGTTTTGCCAGTGAATAGCCATTTTGGGCCTCTCTCCAGTGGGGATCTCTGGCTTCTCTTCTTTATCAACCACTCTGTCTTGGCCAGGCCTGGTCAGCAGGCAGCCTAGTGTCTGTCTCTCGGGGCTGTGCAAACTTACCTACTATCCCCTGGCACAGATCCAGCCTTTTGGCCTTGGCAAAATAAAACTGGGGATTGCTGTGCAGCTCCTGGGAAAGACAAACAGAATTGTCATTCTGACCTAGAACAAAAAAGCTCCTGGAGCTACAGTGACCACGTTTTCCCATACCCCAAAACTGTACTTATGGGGACAAAGATACAGAATATAGGTGTAATCAGTGCTATCCCAGAAGATCTGGGATACAGAATTCTGTCCTTTGTATTTCTCATTCCTTCTTATAGCTCGTGTAAGTCAGAGCCCTGGAGAACTCTGTGTAGATATTGAGAAATAGCACTTATACCAAAAATGCCTTTTCTTAGAGTTTCTATTAAAAATGGAAACACTTTTATAGGAGGTATTTTCAGTTTTCCTAGATATCTTCTCTTTCGCTTTTTTCTCCCCTATTCCTCCTTCTTATTCCTGACCCCTAATATGATGTTCTTTTTGGCTTTTCCTGATGCGATGCAGCCTGTGATGGGGTGGTAGGGGGGTTGTCTCTGCTCCGTGGCAAGATTTATATTCTCAGTCTTTGCGCGGACACAGTTTCCCCAAGTCAGATGTAGAACAGAGTCTCTATGTCAGCAGTTCCCAGGATTTTCTGAGAGAAGTAGGATCTTGGCTGCCATGTAGTTTAGGAGGCTCACTGCAGAATTTTACACACAGTAGGGACTTCATAAGTCTGGGGCTGCAGGTATCGATGGTGATGGGTGAGTAGGGAAGAGAAAAGGAAAGTCTGTGGCACAGGCTTACACTTTACCCTGTTCACTAGCTGTGTTCCTGAAATCTTGTAGGTAAATCAAGTTTCAGGGAGATGGATTACATTTGAACACATTAAGAAGTTGCTTTTTAAAGGAATTGATGCATTTTATAGAGTGAAGAATACTTTTGTAAAGTGATTAATAGCTTCTTAATTTAAATGTTTCATGAACCTGTTTTGGGGGTAGGAGGTTGGAGAGATGTTAAAATTTATCTCTCTGGCAGATGGTATTGGCTGTGACTCAGGAAGCCTTGCCATCTCAGATGAAGCTAAACAGTACCTTGATATATTTTTGGCTATAGCTGTTCTGCATATTTCTGGGCAGGACTGAGGGAGGGCTACATCTTAGACCATTCTCAAAATCACCCTTGGTTTTTTCCATCTGGAAAGTGAGAATGTGGGAACATACCCATCCCTTCTCATGGAGATCAATGACAGTAAGACCTGGTGTGATATTGTGAAATATATATTTGGTCTTCATTTGCTCAGTTTTCTGACATTCAGCTCCTAAAACCTTGGGAACCTCTAGAGTGATAAGAGTGTCCTTCGTATGCTAATGATTGACTGGTGACTGGTGGTCCCTAGGTAGCTTCAGGATAGGGTCTGGTCATTGGAAAGACCAAGGCAGGATTAGAAGGTTGGGAGTTTCAGCCCCACCCCCTGATCACTGGGGAGGGGAGGGAAACTGAAGGTTAAATTGATCACCAAAGGCCAATGATGTAATCAATCATGCCTAGGTAATAAAGCCTCTATAAAAACCCAAAAGGACAGGGTGTAAGGAGCTCTGAATATCTGAACACACGGAGGTCCCTGGAGGGTGCCACAACCAGGGAGGGCATGAGAGCTCCACACCCCTTCCCCATGCCTTGCCCTGTGCATCTCTTCCACCTGGCTGTCATCTGCATCCTTTGTCATACCCTTTAAAATAAATCATTAAATGTAAGCGAAGCATTTCCCTGAGTCCTGTGAGCCTCTCTAGCAAATTAATCAAACCCAAGGAGGGGATCATGGGAATCACGGTCCTGATTTATGGCTGGTCGTGAGTACAGGTCACAACCTGGGACTTGTGATTGCCATCTGAAGTAGGGGCAGTTTTGTGGGATGAACACTCAACCTGTGAGATCTGACACCGTCTCTAGGTAGACAGTGTCGGAATTAAATTTCATTACAGAATACCCAGATGGTGGCCACCAGAGAATTGCTTGGCATGTGGGGAAAACCTCCTACACATCTGGTGTTAGAAGAGTGTGTTGTGTTGAGTGGAGAGGAGAGAGTAGGAAAAAGCCTGTTTTTTTCTCCCATATATCTTAGGCGCAGTATCTGAAAGCCCTAAACCCTGGGGAAGGAGGGTCTGGGCTGACACATTTTGCCTCACCGGGGGCCTCTTCCACTGCAGGCGGGGTGGCAGCTTCTGCAGCAGGGAGCCACTGCCGATGGAGCTCAGGGTGGCCGGGAAGCTGGTGTCTTCAAAGAGGCAGCCATTCCTCAGGCACTCTGCCAGCAGGGCCTCAAAGTCCTGTTGGGGTTGCTGTGGAGACGCCCTCCTAGAGTACCTTGGCGCCAGCTTCCATCTGCATCGGAAAGGTGGCCACAGAGACATGGCAGGTGGTGGGTACAGTCCAGTGAGTCTTCCTGAGGAGTCTCTGCTGCTCCTGAAATGGAGAGAGGACGGTCAGTTTCCTCACTTCCTCCTTGTGCTTTGCCATTGCCACAGAGACGAGGGGAAGGATGGAGAGAATGGGAGCGGAGAAGTCAGCTGGTGAGAAAGAGACAGAAGCAGGTGGTTCGATTTTGTCCCAGAGAGTGTGGGTCCTTGAGCACTCACTCAAGTGCTTGAGGACCTGGTGGGAGATCAGGGATCTTGTGGCAAAAGCCTACAGAAGGGAAAGTTCTCTCAAGCCTCAGGGCTGAGTCCTGGGCCCCTGACTGCACCAATGTCACGGGGGTCCCTTCTGCTTAGTGGGGAGGCAGGAGAAGAGAAGCAGGAAGCTGGAGCTCAGTCCCCTGGGCCGGAGGGTCCTGTGCCTGCCAAGGTAGTGGGGAGTAGTGGCTGCCTGCTCAGGCCTCCACCAGGCCTGCCAACTCCTGCCTCCCAGCTACAGACACACAGCATTCCTCCTGCTTCAATGTCCTCCTTATTCTTCCCTGCAAAACCTCCTCCTACATTATCTTTATTTTTTTTATTTATTTATTTTTTTTTTTTGAGACAGAGTCTCATTCTGTTGCCCAGGCTGGAGTGCAGTGGCGCGATCTCGGCTCAATGCAACCCCTGGCTTCCAGGTTCAAGCAATTCTCCTGCCTCAGTCTCCCGAGTAGCTGGGATTAGCAAGGCCGCAGGGGGTGCTGGGGGCCAGCAGCTCCCACGTGGAGGCCTCCCAAGGATGTCTCTCCCATCCCAGGAGCCCCCAGCTGCGCTCCGGGTCAAGGGTAAAACCCCAGGCTCCAGCACAGGGTGCGTGGGTCTCTCACAGAAGGCCCCCACGGGCGGTCACAGGCTCTGGCAGGGCTGCAGGTTGGCGTGGGCGAGCCGGCAGTGCATCAGATACAGACGCCCGCCACCACACCCAGCTAATTTTTGTATTTTTAGCAGAGATGGGGTTTCGCCATGTTGGCCAGGCTGGTCTCGAACTCCTGACCTCAAGTGATCTACCCGCCTTGGCCTCCCAAAGTGTTGAGAGATTACAGGCGTGAGCCACCATGCCCAGCCTACATTCTCTTTACAAAGAAATCCTTCCTTGAAGACTTTCTTGCTAATGTAAAAGGGGGACAAAAAAATCACACACACACATATTGTGCCAAATACCAACAGTTGCCAGTACGTGCCCATTCTCCCCTTTTCCTTGTTACCAGAATCCATTTTGATAACCCAGCTACAAAACTTGATTTCCTGGAGCTTCTTGCAGGACAGGTTGGCTACACAATATAGTTTTTCATTTTACAGTTGCAAAACCACTAATCTTATTAGCCTCCCCATTTTTCAGGTGTTACAACTGAAACCTGTCCATTCATTCACCAAAAATTTTACTGGGAACTTATCATTTGTCAGGCTTGAGGTAGGCACTGCTCACCAAAGACAGTCCCTGCCCTCATGGCTCTTACAGTTTAGAGGGTGGGAGAGCGAGAAGGGTTAAATGATCTTCCTGGTGCTATACAGGGAGATTTTATAAGGGCTGTATCCAGAACCCAGAGCCCTGACTCCCATAACAATGTTCAGCTCTCAGTGCTACAAACTGCCTATTACACCCCGCACAGTGTTTGGGACAGAATGTACATGCCCTAAAAGTAACTCGCAAATGTGCTTATACTGAGTGTGACTTCTCCCTCATGGCTGTAGGAGTGACCTGGGGTCCTCTCCATTTGTCAAGGTCCTGCCCATCCCCCAAAGTCTAACTTGAGTCCTTTCCCCAGGAAGCCCTCCTTGAGTGCCTGGCATTCGCTGAGATCCCCTCATTCTGTCTATGGACCCATTGTCTGCCCCATTGGGCACCTACTGTCTTGGTGCTTCTCAAATTATCACTAGTGAAGGGCCTATGTTCTTTTATTTCCGATTTGTCATAGAAATTTAATGAAAATGAATAAATACAAACATAACATTTTAAAAGATACATAAAGTCAAGTCCCCCTTTAAGATTTTTTCAGGTCAGGTGCAAGGGCTCACATCTGTAATCCCAGCACTTTGGGAAGCCAAGGTGGGCAAATCACTTGAGCCCAGAAGTTCGATACCAGCTGGGGCAACATGGCAAAACTTCGTCTACATAAAAATACAAAAATTAGCTAGGCATGGTGATGTATGACTGTAATCTTAGCTACTTGGGAGGCTGAGACAGGAGGATCACTTGAGCCGGGAGGTAGAGTTTGCAGTGAACAGAGATGGCGGCACTGCACTCCAGCCTGGGAAGCAGAGCAAGACTCTGTCTCAAAAAAGAAGTTAGATTCAACAAAAATTAAATTAAATTTAAATTATTTGATCAATTGCTATAAAAGTTTCTAAACACTTGCTCTCAGTTTTGTAGGTAGCTCATCAAGCACTGCCAGTGACCAGTTGGTGGAGTGGCCCCACTGTGGTTCTGCTCTGAGTGATGTATGCACAGAAGCCTCTTCTGCCTAATGGCTTTTGAATCCTCTGCAGGATTAGCACTGCTGGAATGTTGTTTGTCTCACACCCTTACCTCTGAGAGCTGAGGGCAGTCGATTCCTGGCTATTCTTATTTGTCACGGGTGCCTGTGTACTTCCTGGGGGAAGACCCAGCCCTCTTCTAACCCAGGTCACAGAAACTCAAAAGCTGTTACTCAGGTCTTTTATTTTTTTGACTCCAAAAAAAAACTCCAAAAAAAAACTGGAGTTTTTTTCCCTAATGTGGATGAGTAGGCAAAGCTTCCCCCAGGCTTACCCCATTTTCTTCCCAGGAAGTTTCTTCTACCACCTGCACATTTATAAACAAACTTGAGGCCTCACAAAGGCAAGGTCTCCCTTTTTGCCCCTTCAAGCCTTTACAACAATCTTTATTGCTTGTCCTGTGAAAAATGATAGAGGGTCCCTTGGCTTCAGAACCTCCCTCAGGCTCATGCCCTCCTTACCAAGTGCTGGGTCATACCTGGATTCCTCTTCAAGCCTGCAAATACTACATCTTGTGACAAGCACAGTACATCATGGGCTCAGAAGACAAAACACCCATCACAGGTTCCTCTCACCCTCCAAAGTTTAGAATGAGGCCACATGTGTGCGTGCACACACATACACACACAATCTTATTTGTAAATAAGTATTCCTAAGTCACCTTAGGGAGAATATAGGCCCAGATGAAACCAGTTGGCGGTTCTTGCATGTTTCCTATATATTACAAACCATGGATGAAATTGGCTCATTTCCAGATTGGCACAGCTCTCTACAAAGGGCCAGATGGGTCTAGGTCACATTTGGAAATTCATTTTGACTATTGTAAGTGAGCAGCGTTGGAGCAGGTCCACAAAATAAGACTATGCAAATAGATAGGTGAAGGCTAATGGGGCTCGAGCTATTTAAGAATGTGCAGCCTAAAAGCATCCTCCATGGGCCTCAGAGTTCTTTCCTTGGCTCCCCATAAGCTGCCAGGTTGTTCTGCAGTGTTTTGCATGTCAGCATTACTATTATTTTTTATTAGAGACAGGGTCTCACTCTGTCACCCAAGCTGGAGTGCAAGGACACGATCACAGCTTACTACAGCCTTGAACTCCTGGGCTTAAGGGATCCTTCTGCCTCAACCTCTCATGTAGTTAGGACTACAGGCTCATGCCACCATGCGCAGCTAACTTTTTTTTTTTTTTTTTTCTGGAGAGATGAGGTCTTGCTGTGTTGCCCAGGCTAGTCTCTAACTCCTGGCGTCAGGCAGTCCTTCCACCTCAGCCACCCAAAGTGCTGGCATTACAGGCATGAACCACCGTGCCTGTCCAAAATTTATTTATACTCAGGAAGTAAACAGAGAGTCAGGCTTTGATCTTCACTTCTTCCATACTGGCTATTCTCCCCTTATCTATAGATGCTGGGTGCTAGGAAGGGCGTTATGATGGTGAGAGGTGTCAAATAACCTGGTGCTCAGATAACCTAAGTGCCTTGATCCAGAGGAGGAGGCCTTTGAACGCTAACTAGCTTGTGAACATCAGGAGCATCACCAGACAAGACACCTGGGGATACACCAGCCAGCAGCGCAAACTCCAAACCCCAATCCCTGTATACAGGCAGGGTTTCCTTGTCTCTCCTGATAACCCTCTGCCTATTTAATATGTTAGTGTTTACTAAAAGGTAAATGGGAACATTTTAAATGTGGGAGAAGGAACAGACTCTAGATACACCTTGTGTCAAAATTTACTCCTTCAGGTGGGTCTCAGTGATATTTCAGTAGCCAGTGTGAGCAGGATGACAGGAGCCAGCTGTGCACATCTCTTCTCAAGTCTGTATTCCATCATGCCATGTTAGTACCTTGTAATTGGCCATCATGGGAGTGTCCATACCATGGAATGGGTAAATGCTACAAATCAGAGCTACTTGGCCTTTTAAAAGAAAAAAAAAATTGAGAGCTAGTTGTTGAATATTACCAGCACAGCACTGGTCAACCTTAAGACAGCAGATTGCCTGGTCCTATGAGGTTGTCCAGCTGGAAGTTTCCGTGTTGTCCAGGAATACAGAGTCCATAGCCACAGGTGAGAATCTGTGAAGGCTTTACAAAGGGTGGTCTTACAACTCATTTGGAAAGAGAGGTTGATGTCAGTGAAAACATTGACTCTCACAAACTGGACAGAAATGAATACTGTATCTCTGCCATTGAAAGTTCAGTCAGGGCCAGGAGCGGTGGCTCACGCCTGTAATCCCAGCACTTTGGGAGGCTGAGGAGGGCGGATCACGAGGTCAAGAGATCAAGACCATCCTGGCTAACATGGTGAAACCCCGTCTGTACTAAAAATGCAAAAAAAAAAATTAGCCGGGCGTGGTGGCAGGTGCCTGTAGTCCCAGCTACTCGGGAGGCTGAGGCAGGAGAATGGTGTGAACCCGGGAGGCGGAGCTTGCAGTGAGCCGAGATTGCGCCACTGCACTCCAGCCTGGGCGACAGAGCGTGTCTCCATCTCAAAAAAATAAAACATAAAATAAAATAAAATAAAATAAAATAAAAGTTCAGTCAGACTGCAGGTTTTTATACATTTGTTCTAATCACTTTCAAGTCAGGAGAATTAGTTTTCACTTAGTTATGAGTTGACTTATTTTCATTTTAAAATCCAAATAACATATATTTATTGCAGAAAAATCAAGGGAAAGAAAGGAAATATAAATTACCCATATTTCCACTACTCAATGATAGTCATAGTTAACATTTTAATGTATACTTTTAGAGAAAATTTTCTATGCTTAATTATTTTTCTAATGAAAGTGAATATATTATACATTGTGTTTTATACTTTTTTTACTTGACAATATCTAATGAACACTTGCCTTTGCCAATAAGTTGAATATACAAGAACGTATTTAGTTGTTGCAAAGCATGCCAAATCATAGGTCAACCAAAATTTATTTTTAAAATCTACTGTTTCTGGAATTTCATGTTATTTCTTCTTTTTCACTAAACAGTGACAGTATTACTAGAGTTTAACTATGTCTTTGAGCACATCCGAATTATTTTCCTAGGATAAATTTGGGCTAGAATGAAATTTATTTAACCCAAGAAAAGATATTTACTAAAAAAATCTAGAGGAACACCATACTTTCTGAGGAAAGATAAAAGATATTTCCTTAAACAGAAGATAAGAATGGTGATTACTACCATTCTTAATCACTTTTAATTGTAATTCCTAGTTAAGCCAATAAAACAGAAAGAAAGAAAAAAGAAAGAAAGAAAGAAAAAGAAAGAGAGAAAGAAAGAAAAAGAGAGAAAGAGAGGGAGGGAGGAAGGAAGGGTCACAAAAATCAGAAAGCAAAAAAAATGACTATTATTCACAGAAGAGGTTATTTTACATGTAGAATATCTAAGAAAATATTTTTTAAAAACCATAGGAAATAACAGAATTCAAGAAGGTCAATGAATACAAGTTAAATACACTATACAGAAACTCGGTGGTATTCTTTTTAAAACAGCAAGAACTAACTAGAAAATGTATTAGGAAAAAAAATCTATTCTTCATAGCGACTCAGGTTACTAGTTTGAGTAACCTGGTGCCATTAATCAAATACAGGAGTCAGTTACAGGTTCTGGAGCAAAATGATTTTAGATAAAATCATCATAGATAAATATGCAATGACCAATGAAGTTGTATATAGATCATGGCCCCAATATTATTAAATGAGCACGTGTGCATGTGCACACACACACACACACACACACACACACGATGGGAAGAAAATATATATAAATAAGAATATGAACTATCTCTGGATAATGTGACTAAGACATTTATTTTACTTTATTAGACTGTTCTATATTTTTGGACTCCTCGATTAGTATGTATTACTTTTATCATGAGGAAAAAAATGTGTTTAATAAAAATACAATATTTAAAAAAAAGCAAGTCAGTGGTTACCTGGGGCTAGGAGAGGGAATTGCTCAGGAAGGAGTGCAAAATAACTTTTGGGGTAATGGAAATGTTCTATATTGACTGTGGTGGTTGCATCTGTATATTTTTTCATCAAAACTCAATGAACTATGTACAACACACTTAAAAACATGGCCAGGCACAGTGGCTCACGTCTGCAATCCCAGTACCTTGGGAGGCCAAGATCACTTGAGGTCAAGAGTTCAAGACCAGCTTGGCCAACATGGCAAAACCCCATCTCCACTAAAAATACAATAATTAGCTGGGCGCTGTGGTGGGCGCCCGTAATCCCAGCTACTCAGGAGACCAAGGCAGGAGAATTGCTTGAACCTGGGAGGTGGAGGTTGCAGTGAGCTGAGATCCCACCACTGCACTCCAGCCTGGGTGACAGAATAAGACCGTCTCAAAACAAAAAAAAAAAAAAACAAAAAAAACACAATGTGGTACATGTTTATTATATATAATCATGCCTCAATATAGTTGATTCAAACTAAAATTTTAAATTTATATAGAAAAACCAGGGGATCTGTCTGATTCCTGTCCTACTGGCATCATCATGATGAACTACTGCCTTGATTTGGAAAAATAAGATCTGCCCAAATCCTGGCTTTCTTTGGTGGTGGCTACTTTTTCAACCATCTCTGAAGCAGTTGAGAATTCTGGGCTCCATTTTAAAGTGGGAAAAACTGAGATCCTAAGAAATAGAAAGGAATTTCCCAGGAATTTCACCAGAGTGCAAAAATAGGAACTAATTCCCAGGGGTCCATTCAGTGTCTTGAGTCCCTGCCCTGATGTTCAGTTCATTCACACATTTACTGAACACCTACTATGTGCTAGACACTATGTCTCAGACTGGGAATGTAACACCTGGCCTTTGATCAACCTACAGGGTAGAGTCAGGTCTCTGGAACGGAAGCAAAAGAAATAAGTACCATGCACTCACTCACATGAACCTGTAGAATCCTCCTGGGGGATGATGGATTTCCAGAGAACTCTGGCATCTTGCCACAACCCACTAAGTTGTCTCAGGCAAAATTGTAGTAGAAACCTAGGCTCTTTGTACAAGACTCTGTCTACATGATAAAAAGCACCAGATTGAAAAATGATCAATTCCCTGCTCTCGACAGTCGGAACAAAAGAACAAGACTAACTATAGGCTTTGCCTGATTTATCTTGAGCAGGGATTGTACTTCTTTTGTGTAATAGGTGGTGTGCAGTGGCCATGGAGTGCTGGGTTTGGGATTGGAAAACCCAGAAGGCAAGTGAGTTTGCCACCTCTTCCCCATGTGCCCGTGTGCTGACTCCTTTATCCTCTCTGAGCTGGCTTCCTCACCCTCAATATGGGATGACATGTACTGTGCCTACTCTCAGAACTCAAAAGAGATAATCGTGTGAAAAGACTTGACAAAAGTCTAAAGTAGGAGTTGGCAAACTACAGCCTGGATAAATAAAGTTTTACTGAAACTACAGCCACACTTATCTGTCTGGTATTGTCCGTGGCTGCTTTCGCATTACAACAGCGGAGTTGAGTCATTGCCACGGAGTTCTTAGGGGCCACAAGCCTAAAATATTTACTATGCTGTCCTTCATAGGCAAAGTTTGCTGAGCACTGCTCTAAAGCACTGTTTAACCAGGTAGATTGCTGTTGCAGGGCTAGGCACAGGGGTAAGCTCCAAGTAGGAACTCACAGATTAAAATGTGGTTGGTTGAATCCATCATTAAGAATTTATCTTAATGAAACAATTTTATCTCTAATTGATTCGTTGACTTTTTAATAGACCCTTAACATTTACAGTTACAATCATGTCTCAAAACACTTGCAAATGTGGCCTGCAGTTTCTCTCTGCTAAAGTTTCACATCTAATCCCTTATTTAGATGTGATAACATCAGACATTCCTGGGCAGTTTTCAGGTGGTTCTGTGGTTACTGATTACGAACAGGAAAACAGCATCTCTATGTACATATCATGACCTGTTCATAAAAGATGAAATGATTTTGTAATGTTAATGGTTTGAAAGGCTTTAAATTGTTTTTCTTTTACTGTTTAGACATCTGTCTGCATTTAGATCAAGTTTCTAACAGAAAACCCCAAGCATGATTCTTCATTTATTAGAGCAGACATTTGCCTTTCAGTAAACAATGATGAATGTGGCCCAACTATGAGTTCTTGAAGGCGAGAATGGTATAGGCTTTTTAAAATCTGTATTCCCAGATGTGATCATTCATGATATAGTCACATAATACCATGAATAAACAGATGCTTGATAAATGCTGGCCAATTGACTCACTGACAGAAGGGATGGATGTTTCTTCACTTGGAAAATGTAAAGAACAATAAAGCGTGCCCTCCCCTCCCCTCTTATGAAGCTGAACTGAGATAAAGGAAGTTAAAAACTTCCTGTGAACTGTCAATCACTTGGCTGCTCCTCTGGTGTCTGATCACATTGCTGGGGCCTGATTTAGGTTGAGGGAGCCTCTTTAACATCCTTCCCCTCCAAAATGCTCATCCAGGCTTGCCTTAGGGCTCCTTTCCTGGGTGGTATGTGGGATCCACGTCAAAGCAACCTGGGGAAGTAAAACCAAGGTCAGACCTAAAAGAAAAAACAAGTCTCCAAAGGGAACATGCACCTTGGGAGAAGGTGGGGGAGAAGCGGCAGGAAGTCCCTTAACTGGCAATGCTGGGGTAGGCGTCCCCTGGGCTGACTGCATGCCTCTATGGAGGTCTAAGAACTTGGCTGTTGGAGCTCCCTACTCACCCCCAGCTGCCCCACTTCCATTTGACTTTATGAGACACTGCATAGTCACAAATCTTTGCAGAGAATAAGACTCCCTGGAGCATGGGTGTACACCTTGAGTTGCCACGACCTGGACACAGCTTTCCCTGAGCAAAGGAACATCCGCTCGGCCTTTGTGGAAGTTGCACCCTGGCGTCGCTCATTGCAGCTGAACCAAATATGAGGCTAGAAGGAACTTAGTGGTCATCCAATTCAGTGCCCCCATGTACTGACAGGACCTCTGAGCAGTTCCAGGGAGTCATGGCCTGCTTGGCCTGACTGTTGGGGGAGCCCTGGGGCATCATCTCTTCTCTCCGGCACAGGCACACCCTCTTTGTACAGCCTCCTCCTAAACTATGACTTCAGTGGAGTCACTCTGTTCCCCTCCAGCTGCCCTGCTCTGACACTTTCAACCCCAAGAGGTAGCGGCACCCTAGTCTGAGAGTCATCCCCTACTCTTCTTTTTCTATCCATTCCCACGCTTTTAAAGAGCCAATCCTTCTGATTTTTTAAAACAAAATATCAAATGATTCTGAACATTTGACAACACATTTGGACAGGAAAGACTTTTAAAGCAGATGTAAATTCATTCCTTTTTTTTTTTGCAGGGGCATTTGCATCTTCAGAGAGTCATGGAATTTGAGCTAGATGAGCGGTCAGACTGAGGTAGCTCATCTCCTCCTCTGATCCTGCATTTGCCATAGGACTGGCCATTTCACGTCACGCCCTCAAAACCACACAGCTCATGGCCTCAAGTCCAAATGGCCAGGCTCTTGGTGTGTTAGTTCCTTTCTGTGTACACAAACCCCCACCACACACCCTCTGCTCTGTCCAAACTTACAAAGGAGATGTCGCTTCCTCCTGACCCCCTCTACCTCAAATCTCCCTCATCCTTCAAAGCTCAGGGCAAATGTCCCTCCTCTCCAGAGCCTTCCCTGGAAACCTCTTGTCTTCTCCTTGTGGGGCTTTCCTGCCCTTCACTCACACTCATGAACTGGGGAGAGAATGCTGGTTAACAGCCCCCTCCTCTCCCAAGCCCACTCCTGGGCTGGAAGACTTGGCCGGTCATTTTAGGCTCTGATTAACGCTACTCCAGAAGATCAAAGTATGCAGTTAAAAACCCAGGCAAACTTTTGGAAAAAGTAAGTCAATTAGAAACATCTTAAAAAAGAAAAAAAAAAAAAAAAGAAACTATTTGACAGTAAATACTATAGCTAAACACATACAAACTATATGATACAATTCCATTCCTGGTTATTACCCAACAGAAATGCTTAAATCTATGCACCAAAAGACATGTACAAGAATACTCACAACAGAAATATGCAAAATATCCCCAAATGAAAACTACCCAAATGTCCATGAACATGGATAAATATTAATAATAGTGATAACCATTTATACAATGAAATACTTCACAGCTCTGAACAAACAAGAATTACATGCTGCAATATGATGAGATTCACAAACAATATTAAGTAGAAAAAATCCAGACACAAAAACTCTTTGATTCCATTTACATAACTTTCAAAAGTGACAAAACCAATCTATATGTTAGAAATTAGCTTAGTGGTTACCCTTGAGGTCGAGCGATCTATCACCAAACCAATTATACCACTGATAGTTACATCAATTCCATTCCTTTTCTACTGCTTGTTTTGATGGTCAGGAGAGAGATTTACAAGGGAGTTTGAAAAGTGGGAGAATCAATTCATTTAAACAAGGCTTTATTGCATGCTTCCCCATGGGCCAGGCATTGCCCTAGATGGTAGGGGTACAGGATGGATTAGACAGAATTTCTGCCCTCGAGGAAGTCACAGTCCAACGACCAGGCTCACACTCTAGAAAGGGCCCTCACTCTTCAGCATGAGGTGCCCACTCTGTGAAATGGCCAGTACCTAACTCATCCAAGAATTCTCCCCCTAGAAAGTCAAAGACACCCCTCACCCTATCAGGCCTGGAAGATGTACCCAGGCTGAAACACTTAGGTACCACCCACCAAAACATTGTCACCCTGTGCCTCCATAGGAGAGGGTTATAAGCTGAACTGAGAGCCGACTACCTCGCTCTGGAGTCCTCCAGAGCTTTGAGGAGTGATTTCCAGTGCCCATAGGCCAGCAGACCACTCAGACAAGGGCAATTTCGAGATTTCTAATCTAGGCAAGGGCCGTGCCAAGCACCACACTGACAGCTATCATTTGAGGCAATATTTCACTCTTATAGTGTGGTCACCGTCCCAGTGTGTTTTTCACATCTAATTTCATACAGGAAGTCAGCCCAGCCTCACTGCTTATCAGAACAGAGAACAGTCGGCCTCCTTGACTCTGAGGATCCCATAAGGCCTCAGTGATAAGCTGGCTGCCCCCAGATTCCTTCTCATCAGGAGGCTCAGGAGACAACTGGGATGGCCTATGTTCTGGGAAATGACAGCACCTAGCAGCATCAGTAACTCTACCAAATGACTTCGAGAGAAACCAGAGCTGGAGGGACCTCAGAAATTACCCAGGCCCAAAGATACTCCCATCTTTTTTTTTAAATGAGGAGATTGGGGCCAAAGGGCTGAAGTCTATTCCTCAAGGTCACACTAATAAGTGATGGCAAAACTGAGGACAAAATTGAAATCTCCAGACTCCAGGGTTTTTTCTGTATACACTCACCTGCAAAGCTCAAACCAGGAGAAGCAAATACCATCCTCTCACCTTCTAAACCCAGACCCTGTAGAGTCTCATAGGGCCTCTGGGCTAACTTGGACCCACCCTTGGAACTAAAGAAATTTACCTGCACAGGAGATTTTGCTTCTTTAAGCGCCTGGGCAAGCTCTAATCCCGGTGCAGTCAGAAGCATGCAGCCTGAAACCACCTCTTATATATGGGTCCTTTCTACACATGGTGTTTAGCCAAGAATTTGCGACCCCACCTCCCAGGACCTTGGTTCCTCCCCACTGTGTGTTCTCTGGAAGGGAGTGGAGTACCCAGGGCTTTGCGACTGGATTACACAAATCCAATTATTTCTTTAGAACACCATACAGAGAAAGCCTGTTTCAGTAATGCCTTAATGAGAGAGAGTTAGTCATCTTCTCACTTCCAACCCTGGGGAGGGTACTTTCAGGTGTGACCTAGAAAAGCATTTCACTGCAGGAGCACATGATACTGCTTGCTCACCTCCCCACAACTCCCAGGACACCAAAGAACCAAGACAGAGATTCCTGTACATCCCTATGTTTAAACTAACATTGACAGAAGCCTGGAAAGTATTTTCAAGAGGTGGCTGTGGGTTTTCTTTTATGGTTGTCAGAGTCTGAGGCAGCCCTCAGGGATGTTTCCTGCTAAGGAGGAAATCTGTGATTCATTTGTGCTATTGAGATCGCTCCCTCTTCCTTCCCAACCTACTTTCCAAATCCCCCATTTTGGCCATCTGGGACTCAGAACATTGACCTCCCACTGGTTGTCTCCTCACAGTTCACCTTGGGTCCCGTTGCTCCAAATCTGGTTGTTCTTCCCTTAAAGC
This sequence comes from Homo sapiens, assembly GCF_000001405.40. NCBI lineage: Eukaryota > Metazoa > Chordata > Mammalia > Primates > Hominidae > Homo > Homo sapiens. The sequence goes on from NC_000002.12 coordinate 31,218,185, forward strand.
ATTTCTTAGCCCTCCTGTGGTTGCTCTAGACTTCTTCACTCCCTCCCCACCCCCACCCCCAAATCCTTCTCCTAGGTTCCCACCACCACTTGCACAGATTTCCATCATAGCAGCTTAGTTGGTTCCAGCTTGCCTGCCTCCACGCTTGCACACCTAGGATCCCCAGAACCCAGAACCATGCCTAGTACCCAGGAGGTGCTCAATATGTGTCAGTGGAATCAGAGTCCCTTGCCTGTGGAAATCCTCTGTCCTCTTCCTCCCCGCCTGCTTCTTGGCCTCTGCCTTGACTCTAATCTCTCCAACTCAATCATTTTGTGTGATTATCACTCCACCCATTTTATTAGTACTGATAAATTAACTAATATTGATAATAATAGCCAACACGTTTTGAGCACTTATGACATGCCAAGCACAATGCTAAGCACATTGCATGCAGAATCTCATGGAATCTTCACAACTTTGTGAGGTAGTGCTATTATTATCCACATTCTACAAAAAGAAAACGGAGGCACAGCATGGCAACTCGCCCAAGATAACCGCAGCCAGTAAACAGCAGAGATGGGGCTAAAGTCCCAGGGTGTCAGGTTCCACTAACTTCTCCTCATCTTTGTCAAGGAATTGTCTCCCTGCCACTGTCAAATCAAATCCAAAGCTTTCTTCCTGAGCTAAACGCTCTTTGGAGCCTTCCCCCTGCCTCATGTGCCAAATAGCCACCCTTCCTCGCATGGGTCTGAAGGTGTTATGAGGATAGCAGAAGCAGTGGATCTGGGAAGACCATTATTATTATTATCTATCTCCCAGACATAACCTTTTCATTTTCATCTCCTCATCCTGGCCCTTAGTTATCTTCCCCCTTCTATTCATCATCTTTTCAGGGACTCCAGGTGGGGGGCTTCCGCTCATCCCTTGGGACAGCACCCTGCACCTGGCACAGGGTTAGGCTCACTCTATGTCTAAGTTGTTGTTATGGTCACCACTGGGCTTACCATAAATTGTGCTGCGGATTCACAGAGCCACCGAGACGCATAGGGTAAGGCCCAAGGGCCATTTCCTCCCGTGACAACTCTTGAAAGTTATTGTCCTGGGTGACAGGAAACAGATGGCCGGGGAGCCTTGCACAGCAGCACTGTGGCCTTTTAACATCTCAGAGGTCATACATCCCTTCCCCAGGCTTCCGACTGTCACCCAGGACAGACTAGTATGCCTGAGAAAAAGGCAGTGAAGGCAAGTGCATCTGGTGATGAGCCTTCTGTCTCTGCAAGGCACAGGCAATCCTGACCCACAGTGGGCTGTGGACCAGAAGTGGGTTGGCAAGTTTGTGATTTATGACCAGAAATTTACTTTCCCGTGGAAACAAGATTTTAGGAGTGGTGAAGCCTTTCCCAGAAAGGCTTTGATGGGCTTCACAAGCTCAGGAGCAGTAGAACCGGAGCACTTGCTAGAGTTCTAAGTCCTGGAGGCAAAGAAGAGGGAAATGCATTCCTCGGCTGGTGGCACAGTGGAGTATTGGAGAATGAGGGTTGGCTTGAAAGTCAGAAACACAGATGTAGGTTCACTAACTTTGTGAAGCTGGGCAAGCCATTTCCTCTTTCTGGGACTCAATCATGTGAAACACAGTTGTGCTCGTCATCTCTCTACTTTCTGTTACAACATATTATGATTCTGTTTGGGACCAGCCTTGAGCAAACATTCAAAGGAGGTCAAATGCGTCTGTGGCACCTTCTAATGTCCTACTTCCCACTTCTTCTAGAAGAGTCCAAGTGCCCTAAATAATCTGCCTCTCCCACAAACCTAATTGCTCTCTAAAGTTTCTCCTTCCTTTCCCTCTAATCAAAATTCTCATTCCTTCAGGGCACGGGAAAGCAATCAAATTGAATTCCTGATGTCTCACTACTGTGTGAATAGCTTCCAAGTCCTTAACCTCACCATAATATTTGCATTTTTTAAAATAGAGAACTCCTTTTCCAAATGAATCCCTGATTGTTGGAATTTGGGGCACTGAAATAAGAAGTAAAAAAATCCAGTTGAGGAATAAAATAGAGTACTGAGATAGTAAATAATGACTGCTCCAAGGTGACCCTTCATGGGCACACAGGTTATTTATGGGGTTTCATTAGACTCACGTTAAGGAACAAGTAAAACTGTTTTGTATCCAACACAACTGTAAATAAGAAAAACTACTGAAATGCCTATGGCTAAGCTCTAACCATTGATTCTCCCTTTGCCAACATAAGAGTAAAGCGAGAAAGTCATGGGGTAGCATTACCCTGGCCAGGGTTACTTCTGGCAGCCCCACAGACAGGGGATGTCAGGCTGTGGTGGCTGCAGCAGCACCAAAGCTTCATAAAACTAACTGACGGCCAGGCATGGTGGCTCACGCCTGTAATCCCAACACTTTGGGAGGCCGAGGCAGGCGGATCACGAGGTCAGGAGACCAACATGACCAACAGCCTGACCAACATGGTGAAACCCCAACTCTACTAAAACTGCACAAATTAGCTGGGTGTGGTGGCACACATCTGTAATCCCAGCTACTCAGGAGGCTGAGGTGGGAGAATCGCTTGAACCAGGGAGGCAGAGGTTGCAGTGAGCCAAGATCACGCCACTAACTGACAAGTCATGCTATTCCTTGATGTTTTTTTCCACCTGATTTTTGTTCGTTTGGTTATACATTTTCAAAACCAGGATCCAACAAGGAGAAGAGAAGGGCTTTGATTTGTGAGTGGGAGAAAAGACAATAACAAGTTCAGAAGAATGAAAGGAAAAATTGATGATTCCATATATAACTTTCAAGCATTAGAAATTTATCCAAGAACCGAGATAATAAAAAGAGGCTTTGTGGGGTAGCTCATAAATGAAAAGTCATCGCCAAGGTTTCAAAGTAAATTCCAAGACCTAAGTTATTAAATCCTTCACATTCACAATATTTTTAGAATGTCACAGAAAAATATTCGTTAAGAAATTCACTATGAAGTTTGAAAAATAAACACAGACAAGCTATTTTCTCAACAGAAGGGTGTTTTCCTAAGTTATCAGAGAGCTAATTAAAATTTCAAGAACATTTATTCATAACAAATAATTTGAGTGAATTCTGATTGACAAGGACTGCTCTGTCTGGGGAGGGCTTGGGGACAGGGCTGTGAGCCATGCCAATCAGGGAGGCAAGGCAGGTACAGTGCATGTTTCTTATTTTCTGCCTCTATTTTAATTGTGTACTTGGCATTGTTTAATGGGTCCAAATCAATACACTACTAAGGAACATATTTCTAACCATTCTCTTCTTGACCCTTTCTTTGTTCCTGATATCATTTTCTCCAAGTGTCTCACAGTTTTACCTGTGTTCATCTGCCTTTTTGGGGTTTGGTTTTTTTTTGGTTTACTTTTGGCTTTGTTTTCCTTCTGACTTGTAAACTACCTATCTTTCTTGGCAGAAAATGTATTTGTATTTGCCATTATGATGCTCATGACAGGGAACACTGATCGCCAGGGAGAACAGCGTGGTTTCTGCATTTCCTTCCGAGAGACGGTTGCAAGGCTTCTGTTTCATGTCATTGGGGTATAGTCGGAAAGAAGCCCTGGTGGTAAATAAACCATGACTAATTTCAAGGATACAAAAGTGAATAAGACATTGCGACTGATGCCCAGAAGATGCAAGAAAAGAGGGACAAAGTGCCTTGAAGTCAGCAGCACCCCAGCCAGAGTGAGGGCTCTAGCACAGTTGCCAATGTAGCAGCCCCAATTCCTGGGAGTTTTTCACACACAACCCTCTGAAGCACTGTGTCTAGCATGGATGCCTCAGGTCTGCCAGTCAAAGGAATTCCTCACCTTAACAACTATGTCAAATAGCCATCCTAAGGCTTGCATTATCTTAAAATAGAGGGATTCTCTATGTACAGAAAATAACACACTTTTATGGAGTTGTGTGGGCAAAAGTTTTCAATAGAACATGGAAGAGACTTATGTTGAAATGAATTTTCCTCCTACAGTTCCAAGGAAAGGTTTATCTGTGCCTTTCAAAGCATAAAAGACCAAACTTCCCCTCAACTGAAAAGCATGATATCTAGTAAGTCTTTGAGTCTGGGCTTTTTCGAAAGAGGAAGCAGCTCTGAAAACATTAGTCGCTTAGGTGGCCTTCATACCTGGGCCTCCCGAACACATAGCAACCTTCACTTTGACCTGCCCTCTCTGGAATTATGTGGAGTTTGCATCCTAGAAAGAGCTTACGTTTGGAGTCAGATCAGCCTGCAGTTTGACCCTGATGCTACTGCTTACTAGTTGGATAGCCTCAAGATAGCAACTCACCTCTAAGAGCCTCAGTGTTATCATCCACAAAATGGGAATGATAGATACTTTACATGATTAGTGGAAAAATTCAATTGTTTGTTTTGTAATGAATATAAAACATTTAGTCCAGGGGCTGGTACATAATATGCACTCAATACATTTTTTGAAAATCATAATTGTGATTATTCACTAATGATTGGATTTGGTGCTTACTGAGAGGTTTTTGAGAACCTTTTAACCCCTTGGACTAGGTGTGATTGGTCTACAGGATATCCAAGTGAAAGTGTCAGAAAAAGATCTGGAGTTCAAAGATGTTACGGAGTGAATGTTTGCGACCTCCCAAAATTCACAGGTGGAAATCCTGACCCCCAGTGTGATCACATTCGGAGATGGAGCCTTGTGGAGGTACTTAGATCATGAGGGTGGAGCAATGAATGGGATTTATGAATCGGAGTTATGAATGGGATTAGGGCTCTTATAAAAGGGACCCCAGAGAACTCTCCTGCCAACTTTCCGCCATGTGAGGATACAACAAGAAGTTGGCAACAAGCAACCTGGAAGAAGACTTTCACCAGAACCCAGCTATGCTGGTGCCGTGATCTCGGGCTTCCAACCTCCAGAGCAGCCAGAAATAAATGTCTATTGTTTATAAGCCACCCAATCTACAGCATTTTGTCCTAGCAGCCTAAACTGACTAAGACAAAAGGAGAAGTGTAAACTGGAGACAGGAATGTTTAAGGTTATCAGCATGCAGATGCAGAAAGAAACGGAAATCTTGCAAGTGGGCAATACCACGGTACTAAATTGATTATCTTTGGCTCACCCTCTATCCAGAGTTTTCACCAGCCCATGTGACAGCACTTCAAATGTAACTTTCAAATTTTTAGCTCCTTAAATTATTCACACAGCACAGTTTAGGGTGACCAGTTCCCTCACTGTTAAATATGTCCCATCAGACCCCATCTGGAGCACATCAGTCAGTTCAACATCCTACCCTTCAGAAAGACAGTGACACCTCCCCTACTCTGCCTCATTTTAAGTACTAAGCTTCTGTTTCTTTTTCTTTTTCTTTTCTTTTTTTTTTTTTTTTGAGATGGAGTCCCAGGCTGGAGTGCAGTGGGACAATCTCGGCTCACTGCAGCCTCCGCCTCCTAGGTTCAAGCAATTCTCCTGCTTCAGCCTCCCAAGTAGCTGGGACTACAGACGCCCACCACGACGCGTGGCTAATTTTTTGTATTTTTAGTAGAGATGAGGTTTCACTATGTTGGCCAGGCTGGTCTCGAACTCCTGACCTCGTGATCCACCTGCCTTGGCCACCCAAAGTACTGAGATTACAGGCATGAGCCACCAAGCCTGGCCGCTTCTGTTTCTTTATCTGGGAGAATAATGACATTTTGAGCTGTCACTGTGCAAATGAAATGAAGTCATCTATGTAAGAATACTTAGCATAACACCTGACATATAACAGGCTCTCCATCAATGTTGATAGTCATTTTTTCCTATGTTTGTTTTCATACAGCCTGAATCCCATCGTCATTTTTCGCAACTACATCTCAGTATTGATCCACGTTGAGTGTGTCATCAGTTAAATCTCTTGTCTCTTTAACATGTGAATTCCGTCCCATCCTGTAAAGGAAAAGCCTTTTGAGAAGAGACTGGGGCAGTGCTTTAGTATTCTTGTGGCTATCAATAGAGAACTCCTCAAACTGACTGCTTGCTCCTGAGACTCTTCTACGGTCTCAGCTTCCATTGATGGCACCACCATCTACCCAGGCTCCCAGGAAAGAACACTCAGTACATAACACACATATACATTTACATATGAAGGCTTCTATACACATACAAATATATATGTCTGTTAAAGCTGAGAAGATACTACACACTAGATGCTTTGCTTTGGTAGAATATTTTTTTTATCCAGCCAAAAGGAAAAAATAAGTGTTCAAAGAGATCATCATGCCCAAGCCAAGGGGTGAAGAAGTTGAGGTGGGGAGAGAAAAAAGAATCCAGACAGGTACCAGGATATCATTGAAATCATGAACAAAACAAGAATGCTCACATCTTTGTTGTTTTCAACACTGTTCTGAAAATTGTAGCCAAAATATGAAATATACATTATAAACCAACATAGTATTAATAAAAAAGAAAAGCACTGGTTGATAATCTTTATGTAAGTAGAAAAACAAAGAATAAACTAAAATTAATAAATAGTAAATAAAATAACTATATATATTGTTTAAATTAATGGGATTCCTATATATAACAATAACCAGTTAGAAGGTACCATAATAGAAATATTTCATTTGTAATAATAATAAACTATAAAATATCTGAGAATAATCAAGGAATGTTTTTGACCTATTTGAGGAGAACTATAAAAAGTTTATAGAGATATAAAAGATTTGTGAATAAATAGACAGTCATGTCATATTCCTGGAGGGAAAGATTAAGTATTAAAAATATGTCATTCCTAAAATTAATTCACAGTTTTAATGAGATTCTGATTAAGAGATCCCAATGATTCGGTTTTGTAGGAGAGAGAAGACAAGGAGAAGGTAATTGGCGAAACATTAAAATTAACTTGGATTAGACACAGACAAAAGATTAATAAATGTCCTTACTGTAAAAATTAAAAACTCTTTCAAAACAATACGAAAAACACTAAATGCTTTTAGAAAAATAAGGGAAAAAATAGACAATCAGAAAAATATAAATGGTTCATAAACAATTTCAAAACTTTTTCATAATAAAATATATACTGATTTTTAAAAGTCTATCATTTCTCACTTCCCAAATTGATGGATATTTTAAAATAATAAGTTTTAAATTTTTAAATGAGAGATAACTACATTTTAATAAAATGAAAATATTTTAAAATAATAACATACAGGGCTGGAGTGAGAGAAAAAAATGTAGGAACTCTGATATCATTGTGGTAAGTATATAAATTGATGTGCCTTTTTTGGAAAGCAATTTGGTGATAAGTATCAAAAGCATTAATAATATTCCCAATAATTTCATTTATTAAATATATACAAAGAAAATAAAACCATGGATGAATATTTACATACAAAAATGTTCATCTTTCAATGATGATCACAGAAACAGAATAGATAACTCTGAAATAGAGCTTTTATTATTGTTGACAATAATTTTGCAAATGACTTATCTGTCCATTATTGAATATAGTTAATTAGATTACAGAATTTCCATATGGCTGAATATTAGCATTCATTTCAATTTAATTATTGGAATATTTTTTCAGGATATGTAAAAACACTGGTGGTATGGTGTTGACTGGGGGAAAAGATCAGATGGTAAGTTAAATATAAGTGCACAAAAGAAAAGATTGAAGCAAAATTACCCCCAAATTTTCATAATTACTTTTCAACTGGAAAAAATAAAAGACAGAAAGGGAGAGGAGGAGGAAGACAATGATGAAAATAAGAAGAAAGTGAGAATATCTAAGAAATTTTAAAAACATACTAGTAAGGGAGGGCGACTATTCATACCAGATATTAAAATTTATCAAAAGTTGTTGTAATTTAAATGGCATAATACTAATTTAGGCAAATAACTCATGGAAACAAAATAGATAACTCTGAAATAAGGATTGTGTTATCTAATAATTTATAATAATTTATCTTTAAGATTTGACAAATCAAAGGAGAACAGAAGATCATTGAACCGAGAGAACTAGTAAAGAATGCGGAAATAATTCCTGATACATTATCACCCCAAACTTTAATACCCCACTTTGTCTGCCTGTGTATTTTTAAATATCCCACGCTCATAGGTTCTGCCTTTATCAGGTTCTCTGTGCTCACAGACATTTTTGTAGTCATAGACTTATCTGTTATAACATATAAGGTTATAATAATTGGCCAACTACAGGTAATTCACATTTCTAATCTTTGTTTGCTTGTCAAAAGCCACATCAGGAATGAGTCAACTTCAGTGCCTGCACCAGCCCTGTGCAGGGTTAAAAGAGAGCTTTTCTCCTCAAGGTGCTTCCTCTATCTCCCCTGGCAAAGAGACAGACATGTAAACAACACTTACAGCCCGGGAAAGATGCTCAGGAACTGGTGCTGGTCCTGGGGTCCTTCAGCATGGATTTTTCTGCTTTTGGTGTTTCCCTTACCCAAGCGAGGCTGTTGAGTGGGATGGTGCAATCAAGATCCTGCTGGCAGGGACAGACAGATATATTTGGGTTTGGAACTAATAACTTGTTTCTGTTTTTGCACTGATCAAGCAGCTCAGAGCCCAGTGTGATGGCTGCTCACCTCTGGGGGCCTCCTGCTCATCTCCCTCTGATATTTCTGTACCATTCACCTGCCCATTCCCCTCATATCAGCTGCCTCAAGGGTTCATTTATTTTTTAGAATTCAAGGGATTTCGGTAAGCTGCCTCCCACTTTTTGTGGACTGAGGGGAAAGTGAGTAGGATGATAGATAGCTCAATCAAAGATGCCTGTGTGGGCAGTTTCCTACCTCTCTGCACCTGAGTTTCCCTCTGGGAAACATCCCTATCTTCCTCTTCAGGATTGCCATGAGGACTAGATGCCCACGCTCTGGAAACACCTGTGCTACAAAAGCAGACACTGACCATAATTAGGAGATTTTCGAATTATAGCTCACATCTTGCAGGTAGCAAATGTCTTGCCTTTGGAAGTTGAGGTTCTTAGAAGCAGGCATCTTATTAAAACCAGATACACACCGCTGCCTCTCGTGGTGTGGGCTTTCCTCCGTGTAATATTGGATTTCTCAGGTTAGCTCTGCTCCTGCTGCACCCAGGGATGAAACTGACTTTCTGCCAAGGAGAGCTGCTATGTATGAGACAGCCGCATTCCAGCAATTAAGTAGCTGTGGTACCGATGGTATGAATGGGGAGTGTTATTCCTGGACAGCCCATCAACTAGACTCAGACAGACCCTCTTTCTTCATCTCCTTTTTGGCTTATAAACTTCCTAAGCACAGTTCCCTCACCTGTGTATTTTTATTCTAGACTTCCCTTTCCTTGTGCACGTTCAGTACTCATTCATCCAAGGGGAAAGGGAACTATTTATTGAGCGCTTACTATAGACTTATAAAAACGTATCAGGTCCTTGACCTACATTGTTTCATTTTATCCCCACAACAACATTGTGAAGCGTCATTGGCACTTTTCTGCCTTTGGTGTTTCTCTTACCCTGGTTTCACTGATGAGGACCTTGTCATAAAAAGAGGTTTTAACTCGGCCTGATCTCATCAGTAGGAATTGGCTGAGCTGATGCACTTTCGCCTCCAACTGAAGTAAACAGAATGAGTACAGCACTGCGTCAGGCTGAAGACGTGCCCTGTCTAGTTGGAAGGCAAACAATTTAAACATGTAATTATAGTAACATGTGATGAATGCGGTAACAGAGGTTTACGTGGGGTAGCTTGGAAGTGGGGAGAGGGGCACAGCCTTCTTATGGGAGAGCTGCTGACTCAGCTCTTCAGAGGGCGGACCACCACACTGAGCCTTAAGGTATGAGTGGGTGCCCACCAGGCAGAGGGTGGGGAAGGGAAGACTGAGGCTGAAGACAGGGTGTGCAAAGGAGCCCGCGTGGTGAGGAGCAGGAAGCAGCTGTGGGAGGCACGCATGCGTGCATGGTTGTAGGCAGGTCACCAGGATGCAATGGTAGTTGGGCCAGGTTGAAAGGGGCCATAGATTCCTAAGATTATGGACACTTGGTCCCACTTCCCAATTCTTCTAACTCCCCTAGCCAGGGCTCAAACTTGTATTCCAGGTTGCTGCTACAGTTTCCATCTTCTCCCTTTACTTCTGGCCAGACTCTGGTGTTGTGGATGAGAAAGGGAAGTGTCTGTATCCACACCACCCTGAATGCACCCGATCTCATCTGATCTTGGAAGCTAAGGAGGGTTCGGCCTGAGTTAGTATCTGAGTGGGAGAAACAGAAGAGATGGAAAAGTCTTCTGTTTCATAGTGTCACCCCTAAGAACCCAGAGCAAACACCACAGATATCACTACTAAAAATTATATTCCTTTGAGTCAATGAGCCATCCTCAGTTAAGACACAAATGAAGTGAAAGAAGTTGCTCACTAACTTATTAGGTGCCAGCATATTAAATAGCTTATTAAATATTACAGCTATTAAATACTAAGCTTATTCAATAGTTTATTAAACAGCTTCTTAAATAGGATATAAGGCAGTGCCATGTAGTGGATAAAAGTAATAATCATTATAATATTAAGAACTAATACATACTGAACACTTTCAATGGCACTTTACATGCACGGTCCCTTTAATCCTGAAAAAATGCTATTGCCATCTTTATTTCAGAGACCAGGGTGCTAAGGCTTGAGAGTGAAGCCACTTTCCCCAAGCTCACACAGCAAAGACACGGGGACACCAGGACTCCATCTACTGCAGGTTGTCTGACTGGGAACCCCCATGCACCTGGCAGGTGACAGAAATAGGAGGCATGTGCTGGGTTTGGAAGAGACACCTGGTGGGAGAGGGCCCTGTGGAGCCAGATGGGGCTGAAAACAAATGTTGAATGCAAGAAAAGTCGAGTTCCAGGGGCATTACATGCAGCAGGATATGCTTTTTAGAAAAAGTCCAAAAACACTAAACTTCAACAATATGTTCTTTTGGCTTGCATTTGTGTATAACCGTAATTAAAAAGCAAGGGGACAACACACAGTAGATTCAGGATAGGGGTCCCCTCTAGAAAGAAGGAGAAGGGGCAGGAGACAGGATGGGGAGGAGCACATAAGTAGATGTAAATTGCTGCTAATTTTTCTAGTCCTTGGTTTGAATGATAGGTTCATCAAGGGTCCATTACAAAAACATGTGTTAAGTTTTTTAAAAATATAATAAAGGAGCCAGGTGTAGTTTGTCTTGAACCACAGTTATGAAAAAAATTCCAACTTTGTGCATCCAAGGACCAGATTTTTTTTAAAATAAAGGATAAAAGGAATAAGAAATGAACAGCCAAGTATTCACTATCAAATTTGAGGAATAATAGCCTGGCCAACATGGTGAAACTCCATCTCTACTAAAAATACAAAAATTAGCCAGGTGTGGTGGCTCATGCCTGTAGTCCCAGCTACTTGCGAGGCTGAGGCAGGCTGAGAATCTCTTGAACCCAGGAAGTAGAGGTTGCAGTAGGCCAAGATGGCGCCACTGCACTCCAGCCTGGGTGACAGAGCAAGACCCTATGTCCAAAAAAAAAAAAAAAAAAAAGGAAAAGAAAAAGAAAGAAAACAGTGTATATATAGTATATAGCTGAAGCTCCCTGTGTACCCATCCCCAATTCCATTTCCCTTTTTTGTCCCAGAGAACACCCCATTCCTGACTAGTGTTTTATGTTCCTTTGCTTCTCTTTTTAAAAACTTCAATGCACACATATGCATCCATGAACAACAGATAGTGGTTTTTGCATGACCTGAAACATTAATGAAATTGTATGATTCTATGCATAATAGCCTACTTCTGGCTTTATTCACTCAACACCATATTTTGGCATAGGTAGCACCACTTCCCTCATTTTTCTCATCTGTAGAGTATGTATTTTTTGTAACTTTCATTTTAGGTTCGGGGGTACATGTGAAGGTTTGTTATATAGGTAAACTAGTGTCATGGAGGTCTGTTGTACAGATGATTTCATCACCCAGGTGTTAAGTCTAGTAACCAATAGTTCTTGCTTTTTGTTCCTCTCCTTCCTCCCACCCTCCACCCTCAACTAGACCCCAGTGTGGTATATATTTTATATGAATGTGGCACATTTATCCATTTACTCGGTGAAGGACATTTAGTTGTTTATAAATTTTTGCTGCTACAAATAATGTTGCCATCAACATTCTTAAGACTTATCTCCCTATGCACATGTGCAAGAGTTTCTCTAGATCACGCCTTGAAATAGAATGGAAGGAGATAGGTCATAGGACATGCACATCTTCAGCTTCACTAAGCAATGCCAAACTGTTTCCCAAAGTATTTGTGCCAGCCTGCACGCCCATCAGCATTTTATGAGAGCTCCCATTGCTCTACATCCTCACCAACCCTACCATCCAACTTTTTATTCTTGCCATTTTGGTGGGTATGGAGTGTTAGTGTGGTTTGGCATTTCTCTAATTACTAATGAGATGCAACATGTTTTCTTGCGTTTATAGGGCATTCATGTAGCCTCTTGTAAAAGACATTTTTGTAGCTCTTGCCAAGTTTTTTTCTATTGGAATGTTTGTCTTTGTTATCGATGCACAGCCATTAGTTCTATATTCTGGATGTGCTTTCATGGGTTTTTGTGTATAGGAAATATCTTTTCACTCACTTTTGTATTTTTAGTTGAACGAAAGTTTTAAATTTTGCTAGTGCTAAACTTAGTTTTTTTCATTTTTCAGTTTGTGCTTCTGACGTCTTGTTTAAAGAACTCTTCCTGACTTTGTGGTGATATATATGCAATCTCTATTGCAACTTCTGTATATGTCAGGCTTCCAAATTTCCTGGCTATTTACTGTGTTGTTATTCTGTTGGTCTCTGTGCCAAAACCATATTAACCACTGTAACTCCATAACAATGTCCACTAGGGCAAGTCCTCTTCGCTTAGTTGTTGCCATTGCTATGTTACTGTTGTCCTCTTCTCTTCTCTGTTCTCCTTTTTCTGCCCTCCTTCCCCTTCCACCTCTCCCTCTCCTCCTCCTTATTCTTCTTATCTTCTTTCTTCTCCTGGAATATCTAAGCTTTTTTTTACTATTGCTCTATAAGTTATACATTTTAGAATCACCTTGTCAATTTCCATGGAAAACCTTATTTAGATTTTGATTTCAATCATATCTCTCAATTATTGAATTTATCAATCATGTTGTAAAGAATTCACATGTTTGTGACAAGGAATCCTTCCACAATGGAACATGGCATGTCTCTCCCATTTACTTAGAACTTCTTTAACATCTTTCTATAAAGTTTTATTATTTTTCACATAAAGATCTTGCATATCTTTTGTCAGATTTATCCGTAAGTTTTTGTTCTTTTGAACACAGTATCTTTTTTGAATATTATCTTTCATGACCTTTTATTGCTAGTCTATAGAAATGCTCCATTAGTTCCTTTTTTAAACAGATAGATTTCAACTACTCAAGACTGAGACGGGAGTAGATGTGTCAACACGCACTTGGTAAATTAGATATTCGGAACAGACATTCAGCAGTAGACAATGGCATGGCCGTACTGATTACAAAATTCTTGAAATACTTCCATAATGGGGCCCCTTGATTTCTTTCCTGTCACGCTGGCCATACTGACCTCTCTCCGGGGACAGGCTCAGATCTCTCCAAGGTCCAGACGCCACTGTATTAACACCAGGCGTGGCACGGGGCCGCAAGCCTTGCTCCACTAGGAAGGCCAGTGTCTGTTCCGGGTGTTTGATTCTCATGCCTTGTGAGTTGTTAAATATCTTTAATATTACTCCTTAGGTTCGTATGTTGGTAGTAGCTAAACACCAAGGGTGAAATATTAATCTGAGTGAATTCTCAACAAGAGATGATCAGTTTTGGGGTTCAAGGAGGGAGTCGGGAGATCTGAGATGTAACTAAGGAGATTCTATTCAGCACTGGCCTCTGATAATCCCCCCTCCCCTGAAATCCCTGCAGCTTCACCACACTCCTCTTGAAGCTCCTGCAGGCACTTCAAACGCAACACGTTTTAGATTGAACACATTATCTCTGTCTGCTAAATCAGCTCTCTCTCTGCCTCCCCTAATTAGTGGAAGAGCTTCTCCAATGATCTTATCCCCTATGGTAGAAAATTCAAAATCATCCTAGACTGTGCCTCACCCTTATGTCCTCTTTTTTTTATCACATACCAAGATCTGACAATTCTATTCCATGAAAAAAATCTTTTGAGTCTGACCTCTTCTCCAATCCCATTGCAGCTGTCTCCTAAGTTTTGGAATAGTTTCCTAAATGGTCTCTTGGCCTCTGTATTCGTCTGTTTTCACACTGCTGTGAAGAAATACCTAAGACTGGGTAATTTATAAAGGAAAAAGGTTTAATTAACTCACAGTTCTGCATGCCTAGAGAGGCCTCAGGAAACTTACAGTCATGGCATAAAGGGAAGCAAACACGTCCTTCATAAGGCGGCAGGAGAGAGAAGTATGAGGAACCAAGTGGGAAGAGCCCCTTATAAAACCATCAGCTCTCACGAGAACTCACTCACTATCATGAGAACAGCATGAATGAAACTGTCCCTATGATCCAATCTCCTCCCACCAGCTCTCTCCCTAAACGCATGGGGATTATGGGGATTACAATTAGAGATGAGATTTATGCGGGGACACAAAGCAAAACCATATCAACCCCCAACCTCTTTTGCCCCTCCAACACTGCTCTTGGCATTCCAGTTCCTGCCTGGTCCATAGCCTACTCCTTCTTCATCTGTGGAAGGGAGGGTAGTGGGAGTCATTAGCCTGGGCAGGGAGGAGTGTTTTATCACTACACTGTTTAGAATGGTGCCAATACAAAGCACATCAACTTTCAGCAAGTTTATTATTGGGTTTAAATTCTCTACACACGATGCACTGCTTTTGCCTACACCTGGACAGTGTTCCCACTCACTCTCCTTAGTATGATGCTGGAGATAATATGATCTGCCATGAAGGTTAAATAAAGCAATGTTCACTGAGAACTTAGCCCAGGCCCCTGCACATGCTGAGCATTTTGTTAATGTAACAATGATTAGTAATAGCATTGCTATTGGTTCCCCATCTCTGGCAAAGCCTTTCATGCTTGGCCTCCCTCACTCTCTTTCACCTTCCTAAACCCTACACTCCAGCTATGCCAAACTGTTTACTCTGCCTTGGACACACCAAGTTCCTCAAGCCTTTGCAAATACTCCTTACGCTCCTAGAACAATGGATGTCAATTCATCATTTAGGATCCAGCTTACAGTCATGCTTTCCATGAAGCCTTCCTCAAATTAGCCACACAAAAGGAGTGACTCCTCCCTGTATTCCCATGACCCTCTGCTCATGCCTCCTCTTTAAAGCCTGCCTTCACTGGAGTTCCTGGAAGGGAGAGTCTGTTCAGCACTCATCTCTGTATCCACAGTCACCAAAATTGTAACTGCCCCATAATAAATTCCCAATACTTGCAGGGATTTTGCTTCTTGGCTTGTTTTGTTTTGCTGGAATGAATGAATAAGTAAATGGGAACGATTTTGACTTCACCCTAAGCCTAGCTAAAAGTTTGGGTAGTGACAGTTTTGGTTATTTTGTGTAACCTGATAGTGGATCCCCTTTCTATGCCAAAAAAAAAAAAAATCCCCCAATACTAGAGTACCTGTTTTCCTAGGGAATTGACCTCAGCAACTGAAGGAGAGGCGATTCAAAGCAGGGAGTGTGATGAATAGGTCAACTCTGTCCTCGCAGCCGTCCCTGAGAGGGCGCTGTTCCCAAATCGAAGCCCCAGAGGCGGAGACTGAGACACCGGCACTCTCCCACTGGACTGGGTCAGCATCCCTCTCCCCGCGCGGCCGCAGGTCTAGAGCTGAGCGCCTGCCCACAAACATGGCGGCGCCCTGCGCGGCTTCCCGTCGCCGCAACCGTGGGGCCGGCCCTGCCTTGCCAGTACTAGGGGACTTCCTCTGCGCGCCGGCTTCCTGCCCAGCTGGCATTTAAACCACCGCCTGGGGCTGCAGGATGCTGCTGCGGATGCAGAGCTGTCCGCGGGCTGGGCAGCGTCGCCGTCTCCCCTGAGCCGCCTCGGTCCGGCAGGAGCGGAGCCGAAGCATCCCTTGCTGCACGCAGGGCAGAGCAGGCGAGGGCTGGGGGCCGATCGGGGACCCCGGCTTGGGACCCCGGCATCTGGCAGTTTCCTTGCAGGTTCAACTTTAATTGCCAAGATTTCACCCCTCCTCCTCAAGCCCAGATTATTTATCCTCCCTCCGGCCTGGGCTGCTGGATGCAGCAGCGGCTGGGCTTGGTCCCAGGAGCAGGGAGAGTGCGCTCCCGGCCCTCCTAGCCGCGTGCCCGGGCCATGGTGCGGCTGAGCCCCGCGCTTGGGTGAGGCGGCGGCGCGGCTCGGAGCCCGGCGGACCGGTCCTACGGGACATCTTCCCCTGAGGAGGAGTCTTCCCCTGGGGCTGCGTGCCGGGGGCGAGCGGCGGCCGCGATGTTCAGCTGGCTGGGTACGGACGACCGCCGGAGGAAGGACCCCGAGGTTTTCCAGACGGTGAGTGAGGGGCTCAAGAAACTCTACAAGAGCAAGCTGCTGCCCTTGGAAGAGCATTACCGCTTCCACGAGTTCCACTCGCCCGCCCTGGAGGATGCCGACTTCGACAACAAGCCCATGGTTCTGCTGGTGGGCCAGTACTCCACTGGGAAGACCACCTTCATCAGGTGAGCCGGCCCAGGGTCCTGGCAGCCCACCCCGGAGCCCAGCGCCTAGTCCCTCCGGTCACTCCTGGTGCTCCATCCCAGACAGGGGACCAATGGGAAGCCTTCAGTTGAGGGCTCTGAAGAGATCTGTGTTTGTGCAGGCGTCAAAATCTTACCCCACAATTTTTGCTGGTCCCCCTTCCCATCCTACCCAATACCTGTCCACTCTACTTGGCCCTTGGCTGTGGTGGTCAACCTGAAGTATTCAAGTGTAAAGCCATTCCCAGTCTCCCCATCTTATGGATGATGAAACCGAGGCCCAGGAGGCACAATGGAAGAGCTCCTGGTCTCTGGAGCGCCTTATGTTGGTGGGGATGTCTTACGTCTTCACTTTTTAGCAACACATCATTCACGGGCAAAACCTCTTCCCTTGTTTTTCAAGGGGCTTGGCACTCACATGGGGGCCTCACAGTTGCAGCTGAGTTCTGATGGGTGCGGGCCTGGGAACGGAGGTGGCCTGGGGATGCTACTTGTCCTCCTTTTATCATTTCCTTCTCTAAAGCAGAGCTCCTGTGTATATATCTTGGAGACTCAACAGAAGCTGAGTCCAGAAGCAGAATGCTTTTTTTTTCCCCTTTCTCTTATTTGATCTTAATGGCTTAATAATAATATTAAAGACGCTTAGAGATGGAAGGGATATTGGCATTGTCTCATCCAGTTGCTGAGTTTGCAGGTGAGATAACCGAGGCGCAGAGAAGTTAAATGAATTGTGCAGAGCCATCTAAAGAGTGGGCAGCAGACCTGGGATGTTAAGTCCTAGATGCATGTGAGGAGATGCTTGGCTAAACGCCTGTAACTCTGAGAATGAGTCATCCATTCCCTTCAATTACAGAATCCTTGGGCTGGAGGGAGGCTCAAGAAGTCAATTTGTTCACCCTGCATTCAGAGAAGTCCACCAGAGGCCCTTCTTATCTTTAGAGAACAGGCTTCACTCCAGTCCTCAATCTTCCCAACTTCAAGGCCAGCCATTTTCTTGGCCCCTTTTATAGCCATTCCAAATTGTTGAGAATGCTGTGGCCCTCTGTCTTAAGACTCAGGCTCCCACAGCTTGAGAATGGAGTTTGGTGGCCCCCCAAAGTCAAGTGTGCTCATCTCCTGCAGAGGGTTTGGAAAGCAGGGGTACCCTTATTCCTATTCCTTGGCTGTTTGAGCATCCACAGCATGTGAAATGCTGTGCTTTGTTTGGTGAGGAGTGCAGAAAAGTTAACAGTCTAGTTACTAATTTTCTAGGTACTAATTTTCTCTAACATCCACCTTGTAACGCCAGCCTTCTGGAAGTAGCACCATGCTAATAGGTCATGTCTAAACACAACACCACATTGAGTTTGTCCTTGTGGAGTGCACAGCCTAGGGCTCAGCAGCTTTAAGAGGCCAAGTGATTTCTGAAGGAGTTTGGGAGGTGATGGGCCTGTTGGCTCTTGTATGTTTTATATTGATAGAACTGCAAGAGGCCTTAGAGATTAAACTAATCCATTGCTTCTTAACTTTCTATCTTTAGAAAAATGTACGTACATCCCAAATTTGCATATAATGTTGGGGGTCCAAGGGCCTTCTTTGGACTTTAGGGTGGGAACCCCTGATCTAAGCCATGCTTCTTGTTTTATTAAGCACCCATTGCTGCCAAAGGCACTTCAGAGCTGCCTGGGTTGCCTGCAGAGTTTCCTTTGTGAGCCCTGGCCTCCACTTGGCCCATTCATGCCTCAGGGGAAGTTCAGGCCATTTGCAGATGGCCCTTGCCCTCTCAGCCTTCCCTGGCTCTCTACACATATGGTATTTATAACCTTTCATACATTATCTGTAGCTTCTCCTTCCTGGTGTACAATCATTGACAAGACAACATCCATGCCTTAGCATCTCTGGGGCCTTGCCCAGGGTCTCGGCTATAGGAGGTTCCCAGTAGACATTTTGCAGAATGGGAGGGAAGATGGGGAGAGGTGAGGATCCCCAAGCAGCAGACAGGTTTGAGCGCCTTTTGTCTGAGACACTCTCCCGGCTTTGCCTAAGTCATCACTGGCTGTTAACTGGGTCTAAGAAAGTGGCAGAGTCAAATTGCCACAGATGATTCCTCATCTGAGGGAGACAGTAAGACCGGGAGAGGCAGATCGCTCTTCTTTCTTATCCTCCATGTGCAGTAGTTCCCTCTCCCCACTCATGTCAGCAACTGAATTTAGCTCATGCGTCAAAAGCTGTCTCCCCTTGAGGGAGTGTCAGCCAGCGCTGTAGGAGGGGTCATACCACAGGGAACCCTCCAGAACCAAATCATGTACTTTTCTTCTTTCTCATAAAATCCAGTAAACAGTTGTTTTTAATTGGAAAATATAGAAAAGAATAAATTTAAAGAAGAAAAAAAGTCACCCATAATCCCATGACTTAGGAGAAGCTATTTTAATTTACATATAAAATATATTTATATATAAAGCATATAATTTATATATAAATATATTTCCAGTATTTGTAGCTATTTTATAGCACAGTTGAGATCATGCTATACATATAATTTTGTATGCTGGCTTGTTTATTTTTGTTTTTGTTTTTGAGATGGAGTCTCACTGTGTCACCCAGGCTGGAGTACAATGGCACAATCTCGGCTCAGTGCAACCTCCGCCTCCTGTGTTCAAGCAGTTCTCCTGCCTCAGCCTCCCAAGTAGCTGGGGTTACGGGCACCCGCCAACACGCCTGGCCAATTTTTGTATTTTAAGTAGAGATGGGGTTTTGCCATGTTAGGCAGACTGGTCTTGAACTCCTGACCTCAGGGGATCCACCCACCTCAGCCTCCCAAAGTGCTGGGGATTACAGACGTGAACCACTGCGTCTGGCCAGTTTTTCTTACTTATAGCATGAACATTTCCTATGTTATAAGCGTTATTTGTCAGCATTATTTTTAACAACTGCATACTATTTCACTATTTGTATATACAATTATTCATTCAACTAATGAATAGCATTGTTTTTAACAGCTGCATACTATTCCATTGTGTGTATATACGATTCTTCACTTAATCTACTTCTCTTGGATGTTTTAGGCTATTTCTAATTTTTTGTTATTGTAGAATAATTCTGAATATCTCTGTGTATAATATTTTTTCCTATATTGTGTGTGTGTGTTTTTTTTGTTTGTTTTTGTTTTTGTTTTTTTGAGATTCCCAGAAGTGGAATTGCTAGGCCAAAGGTTGGGCAGGGTTTTGTTTAAAATATTTTTTAACTTTAAAATTTTTGTACTAAGAGTCATATTTTGCAGTTGTTTTCCGAGAGGGTGAGTTGACACTGCATCCCTTCCCCATTGCGAGTAAGGCTGCTCTGGGGTGGATAAGTGCGTCCATGCCTAGGTCTCAGAAGGCCTCCTCCTCTCCCTTCTCCCATCCCTGCTTCTTGCCTTGATTCTTGTCTCCATGCCAGGCCTGAACCTGTGAGGGGCCTTTTCCTCAGAAACAAAGATTTGCCTCTTTATTCCCCCAGTTCTTGGCGTTTTGCCCCTGAGGGTCCATCCACTTTCAGTAATATGTGCTTGCCACAGCGTCTATTTCTTGTCTGAGGAAGAACACACAGAAAAGGACATTCTTTTAATAACTAGTTAATGTGCTGTGATCTCTGCCTGAAATAACTTCCCCGGCCTAAGGCCCGGCAACACAGAGTAATAAAATGAACAGTAAATTGGCTTGGCGGCTGCCCTCTCCAACACAGGCTGCCTCTTTGGAGTACAGTAGCTCTGTGTCCCTCTGGCCCTGGCAGCCTTTCCTCCTGCCTCTGCTATTCTTCTCCCTTTGCTATTTCTCTGCCCGGCATGCAGCCTTGAATCCCTCCTTCCTTGGACCATCTGGCCCCTGGTCACTCCTTCTCGCTGCCTACTTCTGTGGCCCCTTATTCTGCAGGTAGTGGAGGTGAGTAGCTGGCTGCTCCAGGGGCTGAGGAAGGCCTGAGTACTTCCATGGGCCATGAGGGAGGCCTCCCTGGACCTTGGCAGAGCTGAGAGAGAGGCTCTAGTGGATTGGCTGTGGGGCCTGGGGCTGCAGAGCTAAGCTGCCCCGGGCTCCTTGGGGAGGCTGGGCTGGTCTGGAGGGTTGCACGGACCTTCTATCGTGTGACTTGGACTCTTGAGGCATGAGCACTTGGTAGGGCTGCTGGGATGGGAGTCCATCGTGAGGGCTACTGAGCTGGCCCTTTCAGCTTCTCCCACTTCAGGAGACTCTGCAACCTCCCACCCCAAAGGTGCCTTCGCATTTGCTGTGGCCGCACCAGCTCTCATCACCACCCTGACATCCCCACCCCAGGCATTACAGCGCCACTGCGCCGGGAAAGATGGTTCTCCAGAAAGCCAAAGGGATAGAGTGAGAGGGCCACCACCCCAGTAGACCCACTCACTGCAAAGTCCATCCTGGCAGGCATAGCCCCTGCACCACCTTCAGCCCTGTCCACCCACCAAGGCCAGGGGATGTCCTTTGTCTGATAGGGTTCTGATCTGCTGGGTCTCTAAAGGGGCCTGGGTGAAAATCCACCTGCTTCTTACAAGGCCTAAGTGTTACACAAGGAAGCAGAAGGCCTTAGGCCAGAGGAACTGTGTCCGCGTGCCTCGGCCTGGCTTAGGGGCTGCCTTGAAAGTCAGGTGCCTGGCAGTCATCAGGCAAAACATTTACTGGGAGGAGAAAGACCTTTGGGGAAAGGTCTCCCTCCCATTCCCATTGACAGTGGGACGAAGGCCATGGAACACAGTCCAAGTCAGCAGAATCCAGCTCCACCACTTCCTGCCCAGGGACCTGGTTAGGAAGGTCTGACAGAGGTCAGGCCACCTCCCCTTTCTGACCCGCAGTTTCCTTATCCATAAGATGCGAATAGTAATAACCGCCTCACAGCATTACTGACCGGATTCGGGGTGGGGAGGGGGAGGCAGAACCAGTTTAGCACCAGCTGTGCTCCAGGCACCGCGCATGGGGCTTTATCATTTCCTCTCCTCTCTCGAGCTGACTCTAACAGGAGACTTAGAGGCAGGCTCTCAGGAAGGTGCGGGAAGGCCCTTCTCCAGCACGAAGGGGAGGGCTGGAGAAGGGGCACGTCGCTGAGCTCTGGGGACGGTGCCGGGTAGTGCCCTGGGCGGGCTGGCCTGTCGCAAGGAGGCTGGACTGTCTGGCCACCAGATTCTCCTTCGTGCTGGAATCCCTTCATCACATGGCTGAGGGTGCTTTCGACAGGGCCAATTATAGCTGCTCCAGGGAACACGGAGCTGACTCATGCCTCAACTTGGCCGTGGAGAGTCTCCCATCCACTTTCTCGCTTGTGTCTGTGGGATGCGTTACAGACTCCCTCAAACCCCATGAGGCCGACAGGGCAAGTATTATCATCCTGGACTCAGTCTGTCCTGTCTCCCCTCATTCTTGTGCATCCCCGTCTCTGCTGTTCCCACCCTGGCCTGAATTAACTTTTCTTTTTTCACACTGCTGTGGGAATGTTTTCTCCTGGCAACAGAGGCAATCTGTATCGCTTCCCATAAAGAATCAGTGCATGAGATTCCTCAATAGATTTTTCCTTTCTGGACACAGTGGTGGCTTTGTTACAGGGGCACCTGCTGCTGTAAGCCATACCCAAATGTCCCTGAGAATTTACCCCACCCGACTGTGCTGCCTGGACTTGCTGGTGGCCTCATTAGACTCAGTGTTTCCCCAGACCCATGTGTGGTCAGCAAGTTTTGGGTCATGTGGGTTTAGCAGGACAAACTCTAGGCCCTTGCCTGACCACCTCGGGCTGCAGCCCTGTAACTTCCCCGGAAGCCACCCTGCTAGGCTGGGAAGCCTTCACTCATCTGCTGAGAACACCACGTCCCTCTCAGGGGTAGAATTTGAGACGCCTGTGTGAGAAGGATCCTTCATTGCTGCTGTTTGGCCCTGTTCATTCTGGGCATTTTTGAGGCTGCCTCAGAATGGTTCTTTTCAGCCCTCTCTATTTCAGCTGTCCCTGGAGCCTTTGATGATCCCTACTTCCCGCAATCCACTGTTGCTGCTCCCTTGCAGAGCCCTGCTTAGGGCTTCTCATCCACACACTCACTAGGTCAGGTGCCTGGGCAGGCAAAGATAGATGGGGTTTCCCAATCAGGGTGGAATCTTTCTCGTGAAGGGTAATCTTGGCCGACTGTTTGTAAATCCAAAAGTGTCCTTTTAGAGCCCATGGAGCCAGGGACCTGCTCTGATCATATGATAGCAGCAGCTTTGGGATGCCACACCCCAGTCACTGAGGCCAAGCAGGGAACCCCACAGCTGATATTTACAGAGATGAGTACACTCCTGCGTTTGTGGGCCTCAAAGCCTCACCTCTCCTCCAAGGCCTGGCCCTGCCTGCCTCCTGCCAAACCATATTTCTTTGTGGCCTTCTTGTCCCATTCATCGTTCTAAAAGGGAGCTCAACCCTTTTGGCCTGTCCCTAAAGATGGCTGCATTTCCTGGTCAAGGCAGGAAAGGTGAGTGTAGTGGTTAGGAGCGTGAACTCAAATCCAAGGGCCAGGTTCAAATCCTAACCCTGTTACTGTTTACTGAGTGCATCACCTGGGGCACCTTTATCTCCTCCTCCTTCAAATGGAATGATAATCTAGGTAATTTAAGGTACTGGTTAAATGCTTAACTTCTGCAATGAATTTAATCCCCAGAACTCCCTGTGAGATAGGTTTTCTTATTAGGTCCATTTGATGAGGAAGAGCATAGTGCTGATATCATAGTATGTGGGAAGGTGAAACGAGATAATCCATGGAAAATTTAGAACAACGTCCGGCACATCGCAGGTACTCAGTCAGTCTGAACGATTACCCGCCATGTTATGGAGTGAGGTACTGAGGTTCCCTGAGTTAAGTACCCCCTGAAGAGCATAGCCCTCAATGTTAGAGAAAGCAGGTTGGCTGGCCCCAGGCCACTGAGATTCACAGCTTCTCCCAGGAGGCCCTGAAGGAGAAGGTATTCTGAGAAGGCAGGAAGTGCTAGCCAAGGGTGCAGCTGTTAGGATTCACTCTCATCACAACCTCGGTGCCAGCTTTCAAAGTGATCCTCTGACCAGGGGAAATCCTGCCCTCTCACTCTGATTATTGAACTGGGATCTGGAGAGATGAGGGGCTTCCCAAGACAACCTGAAACCCATCTGTGCCCTGTGTGGCGGGTGGCCTTTGGACAGGAGGGCTCCAACTCTCAGCAGATCAGCAGCTTCCTCCAGGGCTGGCTGCCGAGGCTCCTCCTTGGGGACGGAGCCCACAGCAACCTGACTTTAACTACCATGGAACTGCAGAGTAAATTCACAGCTCAGAACGCTGCTCAAAGGCACAAATGGGATGTTGATGAGTGGGAGGAAGCCCTGGCAAGCCTCCCTGGCCACCACCCCTCTGTGCAGACCAGGCCTGCTGCTGCAGTCCACCTGTGCACATTACAACATCCTTCATGGTTACAAAGCATGCACACGTTGTGGGGAGGGGTGTGTGTGTGGGTGTTGGGTACAGAAGGAAGGCATTGACAGATAGAAGGTAACTTTTTGACACCTGTTTAGGTAGTGCAGGTAAAACACCAAACACATTTAAAAACATAGCACAATTATAATCTTTATCTGGGAATCCCACCATATACTATTACATTCGTAATGAAATTGCCTAATACCCAAGGGCACAAGGGAGGACTCATTTGCTGAACATACCTATTTTGCCAGGTACTATACAAGGCATTTTGAATGTAGTCTCTTCTTTGAAAGTTGGAATTAAATGGATAATGACAAGAAAGATAGAATGAAAGGTGTGCAGGTTGCTTCTATGCTAAAAAATAAGATCAGGTGGCTGGGTATGGTGGCTCATGCCTGTAATCCCAGCACTTTGGGATAGGCCGAGGCAGGTGGATCACCTGAGGTCGGGAGTTCGAGACCAGCCTGGCCAACATGGTGAAACCCCGTATCTACTAAAAATACAAAAAATTAGCCGGGCGTGGTGGCGGCTGCCTGTAATCCCAGCTACTCGGGAGGCTGAGGCAGAAGCATCACTTGAACCTGGGAGGCGGAGGTTGCAGTGAGCTGAGATCATGCCATTGCACTCTAGCCTGGGCAACAAGAGTGAAACTCCGTCTCAAATAATAAATAAATAAATAAATAAATAAAATCAGGTCAGGCACAATGCCTCACACCTGTAATCCCAGCACTTTGAGAGGCCAAGGCAGGCGGATCACCTGACGTCAGCAGCTCAAGACCAGATTGGCCAATATGGGGAAGCCCCGTCTTTACAAAAATACAAAAAAATTAGCCAGGCATGGTGGCAGGCACCTGTAATTCCAGCTACTTCAGAGGCTGAGGCAGGAGTCTCACTTGAACCTGGGAGGTGGAGGTTGTGGTGAGCTAAGAACACGCCACTACACTCCAGCCTGGGCGACGGAATGACACTCCATGTCAGCAAGATAAATAAATAAGATCATAAATGTGTAGATCTGCATGAACACTTAATAACATAGTACTTGTGTGCATGGGACATTTCTGGAAGAATACAGGATACAAAATACAGATACTAGAGGGTAGGATAGGATGGAGATTCATTTTTCTTTCTTTCTTTCTTTCTTTCTTTCTTTCTTTCTTTCTTTTTTTTTTTTTGAGACAGAGTTTCGTTCTTGTTGCCCAGGCTGTAGTGCAATGGTGTGATCTTGGCTCACTGCGACCTCTGCCTCCCGGGTTCAAATGATTCTCCTGCCTCAGCCTCCCTAGTAGCTGGGATTACAGGCACCTGCCACCATGCCCAGCTAATTTTTGTATTTTTAGTAGAGACAGGTTTCACCATGTTGGCCAGGCTGGTCTTGAACTCCTGACCTTGTGATCTGCCCACCTTGGCCTCCCAAAGTGCTGGGATTATAGGCGTGAGCCACCGCGCCTGGCCAGAGATTCATTTTTCATAGTGTACCTTTTATATTGTTTGTATTTTGTATCATATATGAGCTATTTTTATATTAAAGAACTAACCGGTTAAATAAAGACCTATGAAAACCCAGCAGAGTCTACGGAAGGTTTAGTTCTAACCATGCCTTTGTGTGGGTACTTCAGCAGGTTACCTTCAGTTATGGAGTCTGTAATACTCTGTGTAAGAATCATTTCAATCCATGCTTTGTTTTTGAGCCCAAACCTTGCTCCTTCTACCCCCGCCCACCAGCCCCCAACCAATTGAGAAAGGGAAAAAGATAAGGACCAAAAAACAGAATATTTTAAGTTCAGCTGAAATTCCACCTCCTCTACAAAGTTCTTTGGACTTGTTATCCAGCAGGCATTTCTCCCGGCCATGAGATCTTGCTGCGGTGGCCCTGCCCTCCCCTCTGACTCGCATGTTGTCTGCCTTATAGTAGACATGCCGTGTTGATCTTTGCGCAGAACGCCTGCATTAGGACTGTGCTTCTTCCTGCTAGGTACCTGCTGGAACAGGACTTCCCAGGCATGAGGATTGGGCCTGAGCCCACCACAGACTCCTTCATTGCGGTGATGCAGGGAGACATGGAGGGGATCATCCCTGGGAACGCCCTGGTGGTGGATCCCAAGAAACCCTTCAGGAAACTCAACGCCTTTGGCAACGCCTTCTTGAACAGGTGAGTGTGGAGGGAACACAACACTTTCAGGTGCTCTCTTTTCTTCTTGGGGTATGGGGAGTGAAAGAACAGTAGGCAGGGTCTTGGGATGCTTGGTGCCTAGAGTCTCCTGTCAATCTTTCCATACCTAGATTGTCCCTTGCTTGCTGAGAGTGTAACTGAGTCAGTTGTGAGATGCAGCAGCTGCAAATGCTGGGTTGATTCCTCCTTATCAGGGAGCAGGGAAGGATACAACAATGACTCAGGTCACATTCCCCTACCCTGCACCTACCCCTAGTAAAAGTGGAGGAGGATGCTCCATATAGTTCCCAGTATTTGCCTAAATATTCAGTGGCTGGGATTTGCATCCAACTGGAAGGAGGCAGACGAAGGTTCTTTTCTATTCACGGATATTGTTTCTACCTGGTGGGAAGAACCCTGGAATTAAGAGGGAAGCCTTGGGTTTGAGCACTAACTCTTCTACTAAATTGAATGACCTTGCACAGGTCACCTCTCTTCCCCCGGGACAAGTTCAGCCTTGCAGATACCAAGATCATCATGATGATGTGAATGGAGAAAGCTCTAGGAATGCTTGGCAAACTAATCTGGGCCTTCACATTAATTATTCTGTTTAACCAGAATGCAGGCTGATCCCCTGCTCACACTTATTACACTGATAAATCCAGTTTCACATGTGCATGGTAAATACTTTGAAAATAATTTTAAAACTACTTTTTCTAATTGGAGGTTTTTAGAGTAGAGGTAATGAATATGGGCTTTGCCTTCAGATAGACCTGGGTTCAAATCCTGCCTAATACTGTGGCTCTTGAACAAGTTACAAAACTTACTTGTTTCTAATTTTTCCCATCTGTAAATAGGATAATAGGAGTTAAAGGAGAAATAAGTGGGATAGTGAACAGAAAACACTTCGTGCCTGGCACATAGTAACCAACAGGTTAGTTAGTGATAGTGTTACTATGTCTTATTTCATTTGATTACTTAATTGTTTAGTGAATGGAATAGGCATCTGCTGTGGCCATTTTTCATTGTAGAAGTTGAGGCTCATTGCCCAAAGGATTCTCGATGTCTCTTATCCCAAATATATATATATATATATATATATATTTTTTTTTTTTTTTTTTTTTTGATGAGATGGAGTTTCACTCTTGTTGCCCAAGCTGGAGTGCAATGGCGCGATCTCAGCTCATCGCAAACTCTGCCTCCCAGGTTCAAGCAATTCTCCTGCCTCAGCCTCCCGAGTAGCTGGGATTACAGGCATGTGCCACCACGCCCGACTAATTTTGTGTTTTTTTTTTTTTTTTTTTTTTTTTAGTAGAGACAGGGTTTCTCCATGTTTGTCAGGCTGGTCTCGAACTCCCAACCTCAGGTGATTGACCTGCCTCAGCCTCCCAAAGTGCTGGGATTACAGGCGTGAGCCACCGTGCCTGGCCCCAAATAATATTTTTTATAAACCTATGAACTTGTCTCTGACCTTTCTTGTAGTGGCATGGAGTCAATAACAGTCTAAGACAGGGACAGGGAGACCACGACATGAATGAAATGTGGAACTGTGAGTGGCCAAGGTGTGCGCCCAGAGTAGGGAGCAGAGGAAGGGTCACGCTGAGAAATCTTGGGAACTTGGCCTGGCAGAGAGAGAGGCCCAGGCATGGGGCTTGGTTTATGTTGGGAATGAAGCTGAGGTCCCTTTAGGAAGAATGAGGAGGTCGTGGTGGTAAGGTGCAGTGGGGCAGGTGTCCTGGAGTCCAGGGGTGTCTCTTATACCTGGAACTGAGTAAGGAGGTCCTGGATGCCCAAAATGCTAAAATGCATAAATGGAGGGGGTGGGATGAGCATGATTCAGGAGAATGAGTCGCTGGAGCTGAAGAGAAGCAGGGATATCTGAGCAAGGGGGTAGGCAAGGAATTTGATTTTGGACACATTGAGTTTGCAGTGTTAGTGAGTCAGCTGAGGAGCATCGTCCTATCTGAAGGCAGAGAGGAGGAGCTGGACCCCAGGGGAGAGGAGGGAAAAGCCAGGGGGAGACAAGAGGAAACTGGGCTCATCACAAGAGAAGAGTACAGGTTTAGTGGTTAATGCCATTTTGGGATAATTGTGCTTATAATGATATAGTGTATTGTATTATATGTAATAGCATATAGCCTATTATGATAACAGAATTTAAGTGATTGCCATCATATGCTGGGTGCATTCCTGAGAGCTGAGCGCCCTTATGTCATTAATCAAACCCAGCAAGTCTCATTAACTCCATTGTTAAATGTATTGAAACCAGGTGGTGTGGGTGAGGTTGGGTGGGGGTGGTTTACTTTGAGTAAAGACACCTCTTTGAATATTATTATCTTCATCTAGAAAGTGATAAAATGTAAATAATCCATTCCTGCAAATGTTGTGTGTTGTGTGAAGAAGATCTGAGAGAGAAAGGAAAAAATATATAAATCTTTACAGTGGTTACCTTTTTTTTTTTTTTGAGACGAGGTCTTGCTCTGTCGCCCAGGCTGAAGTGCAGTGGCATGATCTCAGCTCACTTTAGCCTCCATCTCCTGGGTTCAGGCAATTTTCCCGCCTCAGCCTCCTGAATAGCTGGGGTTACAGGCATGCGCCACCACGCCTGGCTAATTTTTGTATTTTTAGTAGAGACAGGGTTTCACCATGTTGGCCAGGCTGGTCACAAACTCCTGGCCTCAAGTGATCCGCCCACCTTGGCCTCCCAAAGTGCTGGGTTTACAGGTGTGAGCCTGTAACCGGCCTACAGTGGTTCCATTTAGGAAGTGGAATTGAGCAGGGCAGAAGGATAGAGAAGAGGAACACCTTCCTATTTCATTTTATGCCTTGCTGGACCATGTTTTGGTTTTTTGTTTTGTTTTGTTTTTTGTTTGTTTGTTTTTTACCATGTGCATATATTTTACAAAAAAAAAAATTATAAAGAAAATATATAGGAAGGTGTTGTGAAACAAATAACATGCACATAAAAGGTGATACTATTAAGGGGTCAGGAATCTCTCTCTAAATCTGTGATTTCAATGAATAAAATGAAGGTGACTGAGGCAAGATCCTGCATTTCCAGAGTGACTTGGTGTCTGGCCTGGAGAGCAGACATTGACAAGGAAAGAAATGTGGCCACAGGAGGGGCTGTGTCTCCTGCCTCCTTCCCAGGTATCTTACTAAGGGATAGAATTCGTGTTTTATTTCAACAGACACCAGGCCCCTAGCGGCCTTGGGCTCTATTCTGTGGGGGAATATAAGGCTGATCCAGTCCAGTGGGCACAGGCTTGGAAAGAGCCAGTGATAACCCAGGCAAGAGGAAGAGCAGGCCTGACGAGGCCTTTGTGGGAAAGTTGGCATTTGACCCTGACATTAAATGATGAGTGAAGTGGCACCAACAGTGTAAAAAAAAGAGGACATTCCCAGCAGAAAATACTGAAGAGAGAAAGAGGAGAAAATATGCATCACCAGAGAAGAATGATGAAAGAATGTGGCTTACTGCAGGCACCTATGAAATCGTGAGGTTCTGAGATTTTCTCCAGGAGCACGCAGCCGCTGAAGTAGTGGATGTTTAGGTTGGCTGGGAGTCTGCCAGGCATGTCCATTGAAACGACAACAGGGAATGATGTTGCATCCCTCTTGCATGTGCCACCAGCTTCACTGCAGTCCACACAAGGTGCTGCACCTTAGATTTGTCCGCACAAGGTGCTGCACCTTAGATTTCCAGGTTCCTGTCTCTATGCTGCTGAGTGGTCCTATTTCACACCCCTTGTCTGCTCCCCTTCCCTCGCTTCTCTTAAATAACACTTGACTGCTTTCCTAATAGAGATATTTGGCCTTTAAATGCCCAAATAAATGTTCCTGGGTGGTTCCCATTCTTCGAGGCCAGCTCCAGTGCCTCCTCCTCCAGGAAGCCCTCCCTCTGCCTCCAGGAAGCCATCTCTCTGCCTTGAATCTTCCAAACACTACATCTGACTTCTCTCAGGGTGCTGGTCCCATTGCACTGTGTATTCTGCTTGTCCATGTACAGGCCTCCTGGCCTCCTGTCCTGCACCAGGCTGTGCTCCTTGGAGACAGGGATCGAGGTTTGGATATCTTAGTGTCCCCAACAGCAGGAGTTGGCAAGCATGAACCATGGCTGCCTCACAATCATCCAGGGAGCTTCCTCAAGGCATAGAGCCTGAGTGAGACCCACTTCTGGGGCTGGGGCTGGGATTCTGGCCTGGCTCCTGGGAGTCTCCATTTTAAGCCAGCCAGGCTTGTGATCCTCTGGCCATAGCACCCAGCCTGTTATCTTGCACAGAGTAGGGCCTCAGTTACTGTTGAATGATACCCCATTTACAAATGAGGACATAAACAGAGAAGCACAGCCACTTGGCCCACAAGGATCAAATCAGAAGGAGGCTCCCCAGACCCTGACTCTGCAGTGATGGTTTGGGACAGACCCTTGAAGTCCCTCCTGCCCCGCTAGTCCCTAGGGGCTCATTTGAAGAGGAGCCAGGGGGTCTTCTCATTGGCTATCTAAAGAAGCTAAGGTTCCTAGAGAGGGCCAAGCTAAGTGGAGTAACTCAAGGCAAGGAGGTAGCTGACCAAGGACAAACTAAGGACTTGGGGCCATAAGAATTAAACCCAGGCTTTGATCACACATGAAGACCCAATGTCGCTATGGAGTAGCCCTGCTTGCTGGTCACACAGCATTTTACCAAACACACCCGGGTGCAGGGCGCTCTTAACACTGGATGTGGGGAGAGGCAAGAGGACTGGGGTTCAGCCCCGGGTCAGCTGTCAGCCACACCCTGAACTGGGCAAGTCCATGGTGAACTAAACCCTTCAGGATGCACCTGCAGCTCACCTGAGAGAGACAAGACAGGTGGTTGGAGTCATGCGGCTAGGTCATGAAAGGTGGGCGAGTACTCACCCAGGTTACCTCTGCCCATGCAGGTTCGTGTGTGCCCAGCTACCTAACCCTGTGCTGGAGAGCATCAGCGTCATCGACACACCAGGGATCCTCTCTGGGGAGAAGCAGAGGATCAGCCGGGGTAAGCAACCTGCCTGAGGGGTGTTGGCTGTGGGCTCCATGGTTCTGGCACGTTCAGTCTCTTACATACCAGAAGAGAAGCACCCAGGGCCATGCTGTCCCTTGGTGAGCCGGCACTTCTCCTGTGCTGTGTGGGATCATTTTACCTGGGGCAGTCCTAGGCCGGGGTTGGCAGGGGTCGGGAGAGGGGAATTCAGGTCCACCGTAGCTCAGGAGATAGCTGGCCTCAGTCTTCTCATCTGTAAAATGAAGACATCAATATCAGTCTTACCTCGTTGGGTTTATTCATGCTACAAGGGGCACCTTCCATGGCCCTGATCCTGGCTTGCTTCTTAAGTTCCTGGGGAGCTTGCAGCTCTGCAGGGCAGCCAAATGCATACAGAGAAATTCAGCTCAATGGTATCAGTGCCCTGGGTCATAAGAGGAGGGAACCAGGTAGTGAAAGCACTTCAAAAACTGTTCACTACAGATAAATACAGGATAATTGCTCATTAAAGGAGGTTGCCTGGTATGGTGGTTAGAAGACAGAACTCTGGAGTCAGGCTGGCAGGGTTCTAAGCCTGCCTCTGCCACTTCATAGCACAGTGACCCTCAGCAGGTTTCTTTATTTCAGTTACTTTGTCTGAAAAATGGTGTGGGGCGGTGGGGGCGGGTGGGGTGGGAATAGTATTATCCATCTTACAGAGTTGTTTGAAGATTAAAAGAAATGCTTAAGATAAAAAGCCTTTTCTGGTTGGCACATAGCAAGTACCTAGTAACCATGAGGGATTATAGATGATCATCATCATCATCGTTGTTTTCTTTTTTTTTTTTTTTTTGAGACAGAGTCTCAGTCTGTTGCCAGGCTGGAGTGCAGTGGCACGATCTCAGCTCACCGCAACCTCTGCCTCCCGGGTTCAAGCGATTCTCCTGCCTCAGCCTCCCAAGTAGCTGGGATTACAGGCGTGCACCACCACACCCAGCTAATTTTTTGTATTTTTAGTAGAGACGGAGTTTTACCATGTTGGCCAGAATGGTCTCGATCTCCTGACCTCGTAATCCACCTACCTTGGCCTCCCAAAGTGTTGGGGATTACAGGCGGGAACCACCGCACCCAGCCTGTTTTCTTTTTTCTAACTCTAAAATGCTAGGCAGATGCTATCAAAAGCTAAAAACAACTGCTCTGGGCCCCCACCCCCAGCCTGTCCTGGCACAGTTTGCTGAGTGTCCTGTATAGCCCACTACCCTCTCTGTGCCATGTGTTGTATCTCTGGCAAGAAAATCAGATGACGCCATGCCCACCCCAATATTGGAGCTAGTTGCCAGGGCTGGAGCCACATCAGCACTCAGAAGTCAGCCTATGGGTAAGGAAGGGCTTTGAACTGCTGGGGTTCTCTGGGAAGCAGCTAGAACTCTTGCCTGAATGGACCTAGGTAGGTGACTGTCTGCATGTGCCTTCACCCTCTGTGCTCTGTGGCTCTGGCTGGGACACAGATCTGCCCTGCCCATGTCTGTGCCACAATAGTGGGGCCCAGAAACCTTTGCTCTTTCTGCAAGAGCATGGCCTGCCCAGGCCAGCACTGCTCACCCCAGACCCCTCAGAGGAGAGGTCACAGCCTCATGGTGTGACAGGCCAGTGCTCCTGCAGTTGTGTATTGACGAGGCCCAAGTGGTGCAGGCCCTTGGCCCAGGTGCAGGCCACTAGTGCCAGACCTGGGCTTCTGTCCAGTGCTCCTGTGAGCTGCCTTGGTGTCCTCTCTGCAGAAAGCAGCTCTCTTCTGATGAGGGCAGGTGTGTGGTGCAGGGCCAGGCTCGGCTCTTTGAGGCTACACTATGCCTGTGTGTGAGCTGCCATGGCTGGGAGTGGAAAGGGAAGACAGTGAGAGAGGCCCTCCAGGTCAGCAGCCTGCTCAAGGGCCAGGTTAACCCGAGTCAGCCCTCCAGGGAAGACACAGCCTGGAGTCCTCATCCTGTAGCAGGTGGGAGGGAGTGGGGAGGCTGAACATCCTGAGAGGAAAGCCCTGCCCTTCCTCCTTACCACCTCTTGCTTTGCTTAGGAGGTGAGACCTGGGAAGAAGAGGGGAAATGAAGCAACTGAGTCAGGAGGGACTTGGGAAACTGTGTTAGCAGTTCCTGTAATTGGTGGCCTGTGAATTCTGGGACATCACAGTGTCACCTGGGAAGGGGGTCTTGGAAGACTTGATCTCCTGGCTCCCTATCTCTGGGCTGTATGGTGGAGGTGATAGGGAGCTGGAACCCCTGGCCTGGGAAAATAGGGATGTCTGAGCCTCCCTCCTTCCAGCCAGCACGCACGCTGTAAGCACCTGGCTCCCTGTTAAGGGCCCTGTGGAGGGACAGCACGGGTGGTTTTTCTGTCTTGCTTTGGTTTGTTTGCCGGAGCACCCCCTTTCTCCTAACCCACCTATTCCCAACCCCAAGTGGTTCATCTGGGGTTTACCCTGCGTTTAAGCCTGAAGGGGATTTGCTGTTTCACTCAGGCAGCTCAGGACTCCTCCAGGAAGGCTGGGGAAAGCCACCCCTTCCCAGTGTGAACTCCCTGGGGGACGTCACATGTGCACCTGCAAGGCCAGTGTAGCCTGACCAGCGGGTCCAGAGAGGACTCCAGCCTCTGCGGTTTCCAAGGACACTGTACTAGGAATTCAGAGTTCTGGGCTTTAGAACCTGTGTGTGTCTCAACAGGTCACATTTTCAGTGTCCCCATGTGTAACAAGGGGTAATGATATGTACCACACAGCCGTCTTGTGAGGTCTATAGACCATATGAAAACACGGGCCATAGCCCTGGGTCTGGATCACCATGAGCTACCTTCCTCCCTCCCTCCCTGTCAGTTGGCACCACCTATCATACAATCCCAGAGTAATCTGTGTGAATAGTTTCCCTTGTAGTTGTGCAGTGCACAGCCTGTGCACCTGTATGTGGCAGGCTGGTTCCCAGGGACTCCTGCCTTCCTCAGTTCCTATCCTATTCTATTCTTTTCCTATTTCTGTTTTTGTTGTTGTTGTTGTTGTTGCTGTTGTTGTTGTTTTGAGACGGAGTCTCGCTCTGTCACCAAGCTGGACTGCAATGGCGTAATCTCGGCTCACTGCAACCTCTGCCTCCTGAGTTCAAGCGATTCTCCTGCCTCAGCCTCCTGAGTAGCTGGGACGACAGGCATGCGCCACCACACCCAGCTAATTTTTGTATTTTTAGTAGAGACGGGGTTTCACTACCTCTCTCCTGCCTTTGTCTTTGGACCCCAGTGACTGCCTTAAGCAAATTAGGCCCTTGGTGTTCTTGCCTGCACTTCCTAATGCCTCCCATCCCACATTGACTAAGCACCAGGTCCCCCTACCTCTGGGAGAAATGATGGCCCCAGGAGTGGCTTTGCAGGCCAGTTTGTTTTCTGCTTTCCTGAGTCCAGACTGTAAATGCAGCTGCTGGCAAAAGCAGCCTGCGTTAAAAACAAGAGCTAGAACTGGGCTGCTGGCGCCTGGGGCGGTGCTGACCTCAGCACCCTGAGGAGACCAGGACAGTTGGGGGAAGGGCGTCAGACACCCTCAGTTATCTGTGGTACCCCAAACGAGTAAAGTTTCCAGGGTGCAGAGCCCAACCCCTTTCTTTCTCACAATTGGCCTTAGAACACATAGCTCCAGTTTAAACTGACGCACACCTCCCCCACCCTCCCCCACCCATACCTCCTTTTACGCACACACCCACTCCCACACCCACACATGCATACACACTCCTCACACATATCCTGCATATACACAACTCCCCTCTTCCCCACAGCAACCCCCTCCCACACACACACACACACACACACACACACACACAAATGTGTGCATAGAACAAAACTTGCTTTCTCATGGCTTCTTGCCTAGGGCTCCAAGAGCTCTGGGTTTGGCCACAGAGCAGACTGGGTGCTTCTCGCCTTACTCCAGCCAGCCCAGGCAAGGACCGGACACCCTTCCTCCCTGGGATAGTCCTGCCAACTATGTCCTACACGAGGGCATCTAGAACCTGAAACTCAGCCCACCTTCTGCTCACTGAGCCTCATACCTGGCGCAGGGCTGTGTCTCACCAGATAAAAAGGGGCATGGTTATCAAGTCGGCACAGAGGCCCCTACTGGCCATATTAGACTGCCTGTTCTGCAAAGTGAGCTGCTTCCCAGGGCTCCAAGACCTCAGGCTTCACAGGAAGGAGCACTCGGGCCCCAGGCTGGACTAGGGCGGCAAAGGGTCGTCCTTGCTCAGGGTGTGGACCCTCTACTGGGCCTGGGGCGGGGTGTGTCTTGTGGGAAGAAGGCTGGGGTGCCCGGGAAGCTGATTCTGGGAGGTCCTGGGCCAGCACTTGTCTCTGGATGCAGATGCATTGGGGTGGGCAGGGGAGGAAGACAGGGAGGTGGTTCCTGGAAGTGGCAGGATGTGCCCCAGCCTGGCTCATTACTGGGAAGAAGTGAGGATGCAGCAGGAGTGGGAGGGCTCCAGAAGGCTGAGTGTCCTGAGCTTAGGAACCACATTTCCTGGCTGCTTCCCAGCTAGAAATCCCCATAGGCGCCACCTTAGGAAAGCAGGGCGGGGCTTTGTGCTCACATCACAGACTGCACAGCTTGAAGCTCCTCCCCACAGGCCCCTTTCTGCACAGGTGAGCTCAGTAAGGCCAGAGCAGGTTGAAAATTTGCCCGGATCACACATCTAGGGAACTCGGGTCTTCCTATTCCTGGTCCACGGCTTCTCAGCACATTATCATCACCTGCCCCGGAAGAGCACAGGGGGTAGGAATGAGGGCAAACCTCTCATCTCCAGGTTTCCTCTAGGGGTCTTTAGGGCTCAGACCTTGGCAGGTCTGGGCTGATCCTTGCAGCCTCACATTCCTAGCCCATCCAGGGCACCCTCATTGGAGCAGAGCCTGCACTTAAAGGCCTCTGGGTCTTCCCAGACTACGTGCCGGTACAGGCACGCCTGTGTGGGCGCTCCTGTGCCTGGGCAGAGCAGCCGAGTCCTGACGCCCTTCAAAAGGCCTTGCCAACCATCTGCTCGGGCCGCTCTTTGCCGTTACTTCTGGGAAGCATCTAATGTGGCATTTCTTCCCCGTTGTCAGCCAAACTCTTCCCACATTTTGGAAATTGATGCCTTGTTATTCCTCTTTTGCTCAAATGCCTTTAAATCTTGACGGAGATTTTTTTGGGGAGGGATGGGGTTTTGTATGTACCCACCGCAAGTAAGTGCCTGGTTTGAGGGCTCAGCCTCTGAGCTTCAGGCTCACATGGCTGTGAGCTGTTATAGAAAGAGAATGTGGGCTGCAAGTCAAGGAGCTGGGTTCCAGGCCTGAGTTTGCCACCACCTGGCTGTGTGAGCTTGGGCAAGCCCCTTAATCTCTTTGTGTCCAGATTCCCTGTCCTGTAAGATGTGTATGCCCTACTTACCTCCTGGGATACAGAGAATTATGAAGAGCGAATGAGGTCACGTGGCTGGAAACCCGAAGAAGTATGCTGCCCTGTGAGGGCCCAGGCACTGCATGCCAGGCCATGATGGAAGCCGGCGGGTGAGGAAGGGGTGGCTTTCCTTACTGTGTTTGTCTGATTGATTTCCTCTTGCCTGGCATTACTTCAAAGTGCTTTCTTTCCAGTCATCTGGAGCCTCCGGTTGGAGGGGACCATAGATCCCTGCAGGCTGCCCAGTCTCCAGGCCCGGAGCTGGCTGACTAGACCTCTTAGAGCCAGCAGACTTGTGCTATGAAGTCCAGGAAGGGCAGCTTCTCTGCTCTGTCTCTTGGGGCTTGAATCTCCCCCGACTCACTAGTCCATATTTCATGAACACTTGGGCTGCCGCAGGTGCCCAAGAGCTACCGTTGTGGGTCTCAGAGCCATCGCTGGGACCAGAGAGGGGAAGGGGGCCTGTCACTGGCCATAGCACTCACCGCAGCTGCTGAGGCAGTCTGTGCTGTCAGATCTTGTTGCCACAGCTCTACCACAGAGTCCTCATTCAGCTCTACCACAGACCCCTCATTCAGTCATTTGTTATCCCTATTTTGCAGCTGAGAAAATTGAGGTTCAGATTTGCCAAATAAATGAGAAAGCTAATCCTATACCATACCCTTTTTCTTACTGGGTCCAGTCCATACCTTTGAGATACCGCCATTCCTAGATCTGCACCTAAGTCCAGGCCAAGTGAACAACTAAATATCCACCCTACAGATGACACAGCCTCGGGGTTAGCCAGGAGCAGGGAAGTCGAGCTTCAGAGCAACCCATGGAGTCATTGCTTGATGGTCATGGTCTTCACAGCCACACCTGGCTGGAAGCTTCTGGCATTACTGAGTCTGTAATTGGATAGCAGCTTTCCAGAGCAAATAGGAGGCCTCTGCTTATAAAATCACGGAAAGAGTTCCCAGAAGCCCTTGGCCTGTCCTCAGGCAGAGGCAGACTTCACACAGGCATCCCCGAGGCCTGTAAGACAGCAGCCTGCAGCCTCTCTCTCTTGCTGTGCCTGCAAAGGGTCCCTTGTAGCTAATCTCCATCCATCCTGTTGTACTCCCCACCCTCACACCTCTGGTCTCAGATGCAGAGAATTGTGAACCGAGAAAGGAAGCTCGGAGGTTGTCCAGCTCAATCCCCTGATTTGACAGGCAAAGAGACAGAGGACTAGAGAGGGGAGATTCTTGCCCAAGGACACACAGTAAGTTAGTGGCTAAGCGGAAACGAGAGGTGGACTCACCCAGGCCAGTGCTCCTCTGGTGACTCCTACAGAGCACATCCCATCTCATAGAAACTAGGGCTTAAAAGGAGTGCTTTACAAAAAACAGCAGGGCAATGAGAACAGCCAAGGTCACAGCTCAGCAGTTTCACCTGCATCCTCTGATTTGTTTAGATCCTCACAATAACCCTACGACTGAGTCACTGATTCCTCAACCATAAAACTGAGGCCCAGAGATTACTCATTTACTGTCTCCCAGATGCCAAACGTGGAACAGGTTTCCACGTTTTCCACGTTTCACTTCCGTTCAGCAAATACTGATAGTGCACCTGCTGTGTGCCACACACCGTGCTGGGTGCAGGGGAAGCCCAGAAGGGTGAGGTGCTGCCCCTGCCCTGTCCAGCTCCCAGTGCACCGAGGATGATTTCAGTGAGCTGAAGAGCAGAACAGGAGCGTGCATGATGCTACAAGACCACTGAGGGCAGGGACAGGGATAGGCAGGGGTCTATCCTGTTCTGGCAGCATGGACATATTGCTGCCCCTCAGCCTTTGCAGACACAGCCTTCTCTTACATCGCTGGTGTCATCAGGGATTGCAGCAAGTTGCAGGGACAGAGCCTCTTCCCTTCTCTGCAGCTTCTCTGGTGTCTTTGTTTTCCCCAGCCTGGTGGAGGCGTGGCTACAGTGCAAGAGTTGAGTTTGGAGTTCAGGTCTTGGCTCTGACCCCCAGCATTGCATGGCCTTGGGCCTTTCTCTCACCCTCTATAAACCTCCATTACCTTGTCAGCATAGGACTCAACACTGGCTGCCCTGGCTGCCTTAGCCTGTTCTGAGCCATTGAGCCAATATATTGGGGCTGAGATTTGCTGGACAGGTGAGAGGGAGCTGCAGCCCAGTCTTGGTCCTCCCAGCAGCCCCTCCTGTGGCCTGCACTGGCACAGCTAAAATCCAGATTGGGGAATAAGGAGCAGCAGAAGGCCAGAGGCCTGGCAGGGAGTTGTGGAGGGTCCCTACTGCCCTCCTGCTGTGAGCTGTTTGCAGAGGTGGGGGTTGGGGATTTTCTTAGCCCTCTGGCCCCTCCCTACCCACAGCTCTGAGGGACTGCCTTTGGGAGGTGACAGCAGCCTTGCCATGCGCTGTGCTGAAGGGAAGATAAAAATAGGCTGGAGCCATCCCTGGGAAGGGAAGGATGGACAGAGGGATGTAGGAAGGAGGGGAGTAGTGCGGGCTGCAGGCTTCACCTGAAGTGGGAATGCTTAGGCTTCCCGGGCTCCAGTGAGGAGCTGGCTGTGCCTGCGTGCCAGGGAGGGAGGGAGGGAGGCAGGGAGCGGCCAGGTGCAGAACGGCTGGATGGCTGACAGCTGGGTCATCTGGCCTCACGACTTGCCAACTGTTTGACTCTCTCCTCTCTGAACCTCAGTTTCCTCCCCTGGAAGTGAGAACGATACTCCTCGCGCTGCCTGCCTCAGAGCGTGTCGTGAGGGTGACATGAGATAATGACATGAACATCTTACCGTCTGCAGCAAGCACTGAACTTCGAGTTGGAGGCTAGGGGTCGTGTCTCATGGGTGGTATTGGCTGAGTCACTTAACTCCTAGAGTTTGCGTGAACATCTCCGAGGGAGGGTTGATGATGCCCCTGCCCACTGGGCAGAGCAGCCTCTGAAGCACTTTCCTGGGCCTTGTCTCTGAGCCGAGACAGGACACCTGTGTTCAAAAGAGAAGGCAAAATCTAGTTCACACCAGGCCCTCGATGACGCACCCATCAGGAACTATCCTCAGGATGGCACCTGGAGATACTGGGCCAGCTCTGCCCCTTCCTGAGCCTCAGTTTCCCTATCTGTAAATCAGGAAGTTGGACCATTGATGGCTAAGCTCCTCGTAGCCTCATAGGTCTACGCCACAGGAGCAGGGGGAGAAGGCTCAGGTGTTAGTTGAGCTGTATATTCATTGAGCAGCTGACAGATCTTGGAGAAAATCACATGGCAATGGGAATGCTTGGAAGCACTTCATTTACCAAAGACAGAGGAGCTGAAAATGGAGTAGTACTGGCATCCGGGTAACCAAAGGAGGGTTTGACCTTCCTTTGTTTGTTAGAATTCTCTTACAGCCACCAGGGAAACATTACAGGGGTCCTCCAGGAAGCTTTAGGGCAGCAAGTTTTCCCGACCGTCTGATCCCATCCCCCTACCCCCTGTGGCAGTGCCTCCACACGTCCTAAATATGTACCCCACTGGGTGTTCACTAGATGCCACAGGGTGGGGGAAAGGCTTTTTAAACCTAGCTCCGTTGGCTCCATTCATCCTCATCCCCCACCCCATCGATGCCTGCTACTTAGTCTGAAATGACAGCCTTTGAAAGTGAAAGCCAACTCGGTGCAGTGGTTCATAGCACTGACTCCAGGGCTACCTTCCTGGACTTGAGTCCCAGCCCATTGCTTACCAGCTGGGTGACCTTAGACAAGTTCCTTTATCTGTTTGTATCTCTGGTTACTCCTCAGAGAAGTGGGGCTGATATTAGTGTCTAATGACCCTACACAGAGTCATCGTGAGGATTAAAGGAATGAATGATTATAAAGTACTTAGGTCAGTGCTGAACACCTTTTGAATGCTATTGTTATTTTTATGGGCCAGTGGTATTCAAAGTGTGGCCCTTGGACCAACAGCATCAGAATCTCCTGGGAGCTTGTTAGAAATGCTCTGC
Source organism: Homo sapiens (assembly GCF_000001405.40). Classification (NCBI taxonomy): domain Eukaryota; kingdom Metazoa; phylum Chordata; class Mammalia; order Primates; family Hominidae; genus Homo; species Homo sapiens. Next base: position 31,258,844 of record NC_000002.12, read on the forward strand.
GCCAGACCTACTGAATCAGAAACTTTGGGGATAGAGTCCAACCATCTGGGTTTTAAGAAGCCCTGGGGGGATTCTGATGGAGGCTAAGTCAGGACCCCTGTTAAAGACAGTCAGAGCTTCTTAAGTCTGACTCACTCACAAGGCAGTTGCCTGATGATCTTGCCTGGTCTCTAGCCTCCCTCTGTGAGGCAGGGCAGGCTTTTTCCTAATGATTTGGTTTCCCATTCGATGGTGGCAATGAGCTTTGGGTCCCCAGTGTGTGTCACCTTGGAACCCTTGTGCTATGGGGAGCCAGGATGGTTGGTCACTTTAGTACCCAAGAAAGGGCTCCTACCTTGGTGCCAGAGGTATGCCACGGGGGAGTGGCAGGAGGAGAGGCTGAGAACCCTGCTCAGACTCAGAATGGGAAAGCCTAACACCTCCATCTTCATGCGACTGCTGCTGCTCATGGGCTGTGTGCCCTTCGACAAATCACTTGACTTCTCTGAGCCCCACTTCCTTATCTCTTGTCTTCCTATTTTATGTAAGAGGAGCCTGAGACACAGAGGTAAGACCTACTGGGGCTCTGGGTGTCAGTGAATGTATAGACTATTGGTCCACCCTCCTACTTCAGCTCCTACTGGATCCACAGCTACTTGGGATTGAGCAGAACAACTTCTCTGGGGCTCCTGTAACCAGTCTGACCTAAAGCAGCTTAGTGCTAGATAACCAAGATGCGGGTGGCCAGAGTTCCAGTCACATCCTAAGGAAGAAACCCCTTGTGGTTTCAAGAGTTGGGAATTTTGTGCTGCAGCTGATTACAAAGGAAAGAGCCTGAGTGAGAACAAGATGTTTTTATAACAAGAATTGCAGATTTCTTCCAGACCAGTGACAGGCATGGTCTGAACCATCATCAGTATCTACTTTTTAGTGTTTCATTGTTTTCAGACCTTAGAAAGAATTTCTGGGTCTTTGTGTCAGATTAGGTGTCCAGACTTTCTTTTCCAGCGGGCTGCTAAATACAGTAAGCACGGATAGGGGAGCTGGTATGGAAATAATGACGTTAATAAGAGTTACTAGGCCAGGCGCAGTGGCTGGCTGGGGGCGGTGGCTCACACCTATAATCCCAGCACTTTGGGAGGCCAAGGCAGGCGCATCACCTGAGGTCAGGAGTTCAAGACTCAGCCTGGCTAACATGGTTAAACCTGTCTCTACTAAAAACACAAAAATTAGACGGGCATGGTGGCGCATGCCTGTAATCCCAGCTACTCGGGAGGCTGAGGCAGGAAAATCACTTGACCCCAGGAGGCAGAGGTTGCAGTGAGCAGAGGCAGTGCCACTACACTCCAGCCTGGGTGAGAGAGCAAGACTCCGTCTCAAAAAAAAAAGTAACTAGCATTTACTGAGCACCTACTAAGTGCCGGATTCTAAGAGTATTTAATCTTCATAGTTCTATTAACTAGGTATTCATATTATTTTAGTATTTAACAGTATTTTTAGACGAAAAAAATTCTATGAGACATTGAGTAATTTGCTGGAGTCCAAACAGTTAAAATGTGGAGGAGCCAGGATTTAAACTTAGATCTGACTCCCAAGACTGTGTTATTTCTACCACACCCGACTGCTTCTCCAAACCCCTACCCTATACCCCAAAGGCCCCAGCCCCTGATTGTCCCTCTGCCGGCAGGGTATGACTTTGCAGCTGTCCTTGAGTGGTTTGCCGAGCGGGTTGACCGCATCATTCTGCTCTTCGATGCCCACAAACTGGACATCTCTGATGAGTTCTCAGAAGTCATCAAAGCCCTCAAGAACCACGAGGACAAGATGCGAGTGGTGCTGAACAAAGCTGACCAGATCGAGACGCAGCAGCTGATGCGGGTGTACGGGGCCCTCATGTGGTCCTTGGGGAAGATCGTGAACACCCCAGAGGTGATCCGGGTCTACATCGGCTCCTTCTGGTCCCACCCCCTCCTCATCCCTGACAACCGGAAGCTCTTTGAGGCTGAGGAACAGGACCTATTCAGGGACATCCAGAGTCTGCCCCGAAATGCTGCCCTGCGCAAGCTCAACGACCTCATCAAAAGGGCCAGGCTGGCCAAGGTGAGGCAGCCCCCTGGGAGGTGGGCAGCTTGGGCAGGGGCCCAGAGTTTGGGGTCAGCTGCACGAGCTGAGGGTTGCTGCCTCCAACAGCCAGTGCATCATGTGTGTGACACCAAGGGGCAGGACAGTGCGGGAGCCATGGTTACAAGCTCTCAGGTCAGATGGCCAGATTGGAACTGACTCCATTGTTTACTGTCTGTGGGATTCCCAGCCTTGGCAAGGCCTTTAGTCTCTCTGTGCCTCTGTTTGCATCTGTAAAATGAAGGGGTTGTTGGAGGATAAAGTGAAATAAAGAGTCTCAAAGCCCTCATCACAGTGTCTGGCACCTTCAGAGATGCTCAGCAACTGTCAGCTGCTGGTATTGCCTTCAGCAGCAGCAACATGACCACCTCACCCTGCCTTGACCATAGCTCCCCACAACCTCACCTTGCCCACATAACATAGAAAAACAGCCCAGCCCTGCAAGCAACATGGAGCCATGAGGGTAGAGGTAGAAATTATTTCAAAAGTAGGAGCAGGAGGAGGCGGGAGGGATGTAGGGGAAGGAATGATGCAAGAGCCATCCTAGAAGGAAGGGACCGTCCAGGGTCTTGATGTGAAGGCTTCTCTCTGGCCCTGTTTGTCAGGTCCACGCCTACATCATCAGCTCTCTGAAGAAGGAGATGCCCTCGGTGTTCGGGAAGGACAACAAGAAGAAGGAGCTGGTCAACAACCTGGCCGAGATCTATGGCCGGATCGAGCGGGAGCACCAGATCTCACCTGGGGACTTCCCCAATCTGAAGAGGATGCAGGTAGCGAGGGCTGGGGTCTCTAAGACAAGGGACAGTGTCCCGAGAGCTGGCTGAGCAGCCTGAGTATGGAGGAGGCCACTCTTGGAGCCCCCCAGGGAGAACCCCGCCCAGAATCTGCAGGCAAGGAGGTGGCCCTGGATCTACACTCCTAGCTGGGCCATCACTGGCCCAACAGGGGCCATGTCTGGGCCTGGGGAGAAACACGGAGCCCACCGCCCCAGTGGTGCAGGTGTGTTAGATGATGCTGGGGGGCTGACACCTCCAGTTAATGACCTTCTCTAGTCACAGCCACCACAGGCTTGACGTCCCCACCATCTCTGGTGCAGTGGGATGGGTCACCTGACCAAGGTTCTCCAGGCTCTTAAAGTGCTCGAGTTTACATCTGAGGTCCCCCTTGTGAGCAATCTGGGACACGAGCTTCGGGGAGGCAGAAGTGCACACGGGAACTCGTCATCTTTGGGTCCTATTGCAGGTGCCTATCTTGGGCCAGTGGCCATCACACATGGTTTCTTACGGTTTTCCCCAAAGCACTCATCAGAGGGAGGCATTTTTCATCTGCCTTTTTACAGAAGAAACAGAGGTCTCAGCATTTTCTGAGTGTAGCATTCACATAGGCCACAAGAAGAAGAGCCAGGAGCTGGGCCCAAAGGTCCAAGCAGGAAACCACAACATTGACTGGATCCTCTGAGCCTCCATTTCCTCATCTGTAAACTGAAGCTACAAAATCACGCCTTATACAGGTGTTGTGAGCATCAGTGAGATAATCTTTGCAAAGCCCTTAGCACAAAGCCAGACAGACTATGCCCTTAGTACACAGTAGCAAATCATTAGGTGGGCAGAGGGAGGTGGGTGCTGAGCACAAAGCACCCACCCACTGTACAATGTTTGCAACTTCTTATGATTCTAGAATTAGGAAATTAGAGGCCAGGCACAGTGGCTCACGCCTGTAATCCCAGCAGTTTGGGAAGCCGAGGCGGGCAGATCACCTGAGGCCAGGAGTTCGAGACCAGCCTGGCCAACATGGCAAAACTTGTAATAAAACTACAAAAAAATTAACTGGGCATGGTGGCAAGCACCTGTAATCCCAGCTACTCGGGAGGCTGAGGCATGAGAATCACTTGAACCCAGGAGTCAGAGGTTGCAGTGAGCCAAGATTGTGCCACTGCACTTTAGCCTGGGCAACAGAGAAAGACTCCATCTCAAAAAATAAAAAAATTAGGGAATTAGAAAAATCAAAAAATAGCAGCCACAGAAGCACTTAATAGATGCTGTTGCTCTTGTTTTGATCTTTAGCTTGGGAATCAGTTTCTCAGTTTAAATCTAGGTTTTTCATAACATCACTATAGTCCTCAATAGGCATTTTTAGTTTCCTATCCGGCAGAAGAAAAAGAAAAAAATATACATTCCAAGTATTTGGAATTTGTTCATGTGTCCATTCACTCATATAACCACCTACCACGAGCCATTCACTAACCAGCATTGCTTTTGTTTTGCGGGTTTCCCGGTCCTTGACTTGGAGCACTTCAGCTCTTCGCTTCTGCTTTTGTTAAGAATTTAATGATTTGTAAGCAAACATTTGGGAAGATAACATTTGAAAGGGACCCTAAGACCCCAGTTTTAATGTGAGGAATTCTTTCAAAACAAAGATTCTCACCTCATTTGTTTGCCAGTTCAATATTCTGTTCTGCAGTTCAATATGCTGAATCCACAATGTAAACAGCTGTCCTGTGTGGGTGTCCATCGTAGGGTAATGGGAGCACCCACCATGCCCCCTAGTTGATACTGGGACCCCTGCATGGGAGCCCACCAAACATACCTAGATGTGAGCAGGCTGGGAGGGACAGGAGGAATGAGAGGTGGGAGGACCTTGGGACGTGATGCTCTGAGGGGTGGGAGATAGGGCCCTGTCTGCTCCTCCTCCAGGAGTCCTTCAGCCCTAAGGCCTTCCTGGCTCAGCCTCACCCTAGGAAGGAGGTGAGAAGTACCCAGGCTAACACTTGCCCTAGAAAGCTGTGGGTGTTTTTTGCATTTTTCTGCAGCAGACTAGCTGTGCTTCACCCTGTGTACTGGCCTCTTCCCAGCTTCTGGAGAGTTAGGTGGCCAGAGCCAGGGTAGGAGCAGAAAGCTGTCACCCTATCACCCTCTACAGGCCATGGAGAAGTTGGTGTTCTAGACTCGAAAACTTTCAAAATTGCAGAGACCTGCAAAGTGGAAGATATTTCTTTTATGGTGTGGTGTGGGTTGTCATGTGAAGGCAAGAGGAGCTCTTTCAAAATCGGCATGCCCACCTGCCTGCCTGTGCCTGCTGTGTCAAACCCTCGGGGACAGTCATGCCTTGCTAATGACAGGGACACATCCTCAGTAATGCATTGTTAGGTGATTTTGTCATTGTGTGTGAACACCATAGAATGTATATACACAAACCTGCATGGTAGGGCCTACCACACACCTGGACTATATGGTATGATGACCTATTGCTTCTAGGCCACAGACCTAGCATGTGACTGTACTGAAGGCTGTAGGCAATTGTAACACCATGTATTTGTGTATCTAAACATAGAAATGGTACAGTAAAAATACAGTATGAAAGATAAACAGTGGTATACTTGTACAGGGCACTTACCATGAATGGAGCTTGCAGAACTGGAAGTTGCTTTGGGTGGGCCAGTGAGTGAGTGGTGAGTGAGTGTGAAGGCCTAGGACATCACTGTACACTGCTGTAGACTTCTTTAGAAACACTGTACACTTAGGCTACACTATATTTATTTTTAGAAACATTTTCTTTCTTCAATAATAAATTAACATTTCTACTTTACAGACTTTTTTTTTTTTTTTTTTTTGATACAGAGTCTCACTCTGTTGCTAGGCTAGAGTGCAGTGGCGCGATCTCGGCTCACTGCAACCTCCAACTCTGGGTTCAAGCGATTCTCCTCAGCCTCCCGAGTAGCTGGGACCACAGGCATGTGCCACCATGCCCAGCTAAATTTTTTTTGTAATTTTAGTAGAGACGGGGTTTTCACCATGTTGGCCAGGATGGTCTCGATCTCTTGACCTCGTGATCCGCCTGCCTCAGCCTCCCAAAGTGCTGGGATTACAGGCATGAGCCACCGCGCCTAGCCTACAAAGTTTTTGACTCTTGTTGTAACAATTAGCTTAAAATGTACATTGTATATCTATACACAAATATTTTCTTTATATCCTTATTCTATAAGTTTTTTCTATTTAAAAAAATTTATTTTTTACTTTTTTATTTTTGTGTGTGCTAAAAACTAAGATGCAAACACCCATGCTAGTCTAGGCCTACACAGGGTCAGCATCATCAGTTTCGCTGTCTTCACCTCCACATCTTGTCCCACTGGAAGGTCTTGAGAGATAGTAATACACATGGAGGTGTCATCTCCTGTAATAACAATGCCTTCTTCTGGAATTCCTCCTGAAGGGCCTGCCTGAGGTTGTTTTACTGTTAACATTTTTTTTAAATAAGTAGAAAGAATACACCCTAAAATAACAATAAAAAGTACAGTATAGTAAATATTTACATAAACCAGTAACATAGCCGTTATCATTATCCGGTATTATGTACTCTATGGAAATGTGTGTGCTAGATTTTTATACCACTGGCAGCACAGTAGGTTTGTTTACACCAGCATCACCACAAACACATAATGCGTTGTGTTGTGTACAGTAGCTACAATGTCACCAGGCAACAGGAATTTCCCAGCTCCCTTATTGTCTTCTGGGACCCTCGTCATACGTGTGGTCCCTCATTGACTGAAACATTGTAATGCAGCACATGACTGTATTTTGAAAACTCTCCTCAGGTGACTCCGATGAGCATCCTGATTAAGAACCATAATTTGGGGATGACCTTTGGCTTCTGTTATGATTTGGTTTTAGTACCCTGTGCCCTGTTTGGTTTTTGTTTTTGTTTTCACTAAGTGGGGATAGAATGTGATTTTCCTACCTCAGAAGGGCGCTGGGGGAGTGAACGAGGTAATGTAGTGAAGGCACTTGCGGTGATTTTCAAGTACAGTATAACCCTTATTAAAGTAGAGGCCCACATGACCCAGTCTCAGAGGTACAGCATTCAAGAGACATGATTCAATAGCCAAAACTGACTTAAAGAGAAATGTAATGATTTCCTCTCTGGAATGACATTGAAGGGGATTGAAATAAATAGATCATGCCAATACTTGTTAAATTTCCCTTTCTTCCCCAGCCCCTACAACCCTTCTACCCCCTACTGAAAAATCCCATCATCAGCCCAGTGGGCCTTTATTCCCCTCCTCTCTCATACCTTCGATTACCACGTGATGTCCATCAGCTGAGCCTCTAGGTCACAGGTCTTTCATTGTAGAAAGGGATCAGCTGTGAACATTCTGGTGCTCATAGGAGGCACGTGATAAATGGAGGGCTCTCCTTTCATCGTATCCTATCTTCATCCTCTCTCCTCCTCTTCCCAGGACCAGCTGCAGGCCCAGGACTTTAGCAAGTTCCAGCCGCTGAAGAGCAAGCTGCTGGAGGTAGTGGACGACATGCTGGCCCATGACATTGCCCAGCTCATGGTGCTAGTGCGCCAGGAGGAGTCACAGCGGCCCATCCAGATGGTGAAGGGCGGAGCGTTCGAGGGCACCCTGCACGGCCCCTTTGGGCATGGCTATGGGGAGGGGGCTGGAGAAGGTATCGATGATGCTGAGTGGGTGGTGGCCAGGGACAAGCCCATGTACGACGAGATCTTCTACACCCTGTCACCGGTGGATGGCAAGATCACAGGCGCTAATGCCAAGAAGGAGATGGTGCGCTCCAAGCTGCCCAACAGTGTGCTGGGCAAGATCTGGAAGCTGGCCGACATTGACAAGGATGGCATGCTGGACGACGACGAGTTTGCACTGGCCAACCACCTCATCAAAGTCAAGCTGGAGGGGCACGAGCTGCCCAACGAGCTGCCTGCCCACCTCCTGCCCCCGTCCAAGAGGAAAGTTGCCGAGTGATGGGGTGGGGGGACATTCAGACGGGCAGTGTTAGAGGAGGAGATGGGAGCGGTGACTACACACACACACACACACACACACACACACACAAACATGCACACACACATATGCATATCTTGACATTGCTCTGTAGGTGAGAGAGGACCATGACGCCCATGTTTGCAGCTGATACTTGTTTGGGCACACCTCCAAGTTCTCGGGATTAGAAGGACAAGAGCACTCCCAGGCCCCAGAGTCTAAGCCTAAGTCTCTATCGCTCTTCCCCTCTCCTCGGCCACTCCCCAGATACCAGACCTGAGGCAATTCACTTGCCAGCACAGATGGCCAACCCACCTCCAGATTCCCCAGTGCTTCCACACCCGGGCTCTGAGCAAATGGAAAAGACTTTTCATTTAGTAGACAATTCACTTCTTTTTCTGTGCTTCCCCTATCTGCTTTGGCTTCCTAATAAGAAATCCATTCAAGAGCTAGGAGATCTGAGGGCAGGCGGGCAGCTGCAGGGAGGAGAGGTGAGAAAGGAAGCGTCTTCTAGAGACATTGGCCCAGGAGCTCTGTTCTTTCCTAATCTAAGCCTCTGTCTTCTTCGGCAAACCTTGCTTTGAACTCTGCCAGTATTTCATTTTAAAGAATCCCAGAGCGGGAGAGAGAAGAGAAAAAAATTGATAAGAGTGAGGAAATTGTCCTGTAGTCTATTGAAAACCAGTCAAGGTGGTTTTAGTTCATAGATTTTGTTAGATGTTCTTTCCACCTGGCCTATGATGTTTAGATGTTCATACTTGACTCACATTTACCCAGCCCCTCCTGCGTACCAGGAGCTGTGTTAGGCACTTTATATACATTATTCTATGTGGCCCTCACTGATGCCCCAGGGAAGTATGCATTAGCCTTCCCATTTTGCAGTTGAGGAGGCTGAGTAGCCTCAGAAGGGTTTAGGCGACCTTCTGAAACTCACAGAAGTCACGTGATGGAGAGAGGATTCAAAGCCAGGGCCTCAGACCCTCACACACTTGTCTGTGCTATGATGTATGCAGGATCCCAGCATTGATACCCAATGACAAACTATGGAGAACAAGCAAAGTATGCAGGCCCCCTGCAGCCTCCCAGGACAGGCTGGCAAGGGAGGAGGGCCGGCCAGCATTTGGTGGCCCATCAGTCTGGCCATCTGTCACGTCACAGAAGCAAACCGTGCCTTCTGGCTCTGCGCCCCATATTCCCAGCATCATAGACATCCAACAGCACCAGCAGGAGAGTGGGCTAGCCTGCTGGATGCTGTTCGTGCCTGTCCCTGCTCTGCCTCCCACCCAGTTGCCTGAATCATCCCAGCTCAGATGCAGCCACTGTCTCTTGTCAAGTGGGACCTCATACTATTCTCAGAAGGCTAACTTGAGAGGTTTGGGGCCTTGTTCCCCAGAGGGTCCCCAGGGACTCTGCAGTGTCCTTGGCAAATCCCCACTGTACTCAATGCCCTACATTCTCTTCTGTGGTCTCTCCCCTGGCTTGCTTCATGGCCACTGAACCAATCACTTTGTATGCTATGCTCCTACTGTGATGGAAAACAAAATGAGTATAACTTATTTTATATCCATATTCAGACTATATAGAGAATATTCTATGCATCTATGACGTGCTTACTACTGCAGTGCATTTGTCATTAGTCTTCATGTTAATACAGTACATTTATTCTTTGGTACCTGCCTGGCCACAGAGCATCATTCAATGGAGGCTGAGGGAGAAGGGCTGGGTTCTTACTTGGAGTTCCTGGTGAAATCTTTGGCTGGAAAGGGCTCACTGGGGCCACCCAATGGCCAGCATCCACAACCAGCTTCCCAGTGGGCTGGAGTTTGTCTAGGCTCAGTGACCAACCCAGGCACAGCTGGTGGAGCCACCGCTCCCTGCTCCTCTGGAGTGAAGATGTTCCCTAAGCCCCTGGGCTTCCTTCTGCAAATACACATTTCTCTTTCACATGAAATGAAGGGCAGACAAAGGCCAGGCAAAGAGGTCTCACCTGCTCTGGAGAAAACCCTTGAGTGCCGAGTGCAGGTTAGGGACCATTTCTCAACTCCACACCTTTCTTCAAGCTGAAGGAGAAATGGGAAGGAAATAGCAGAGGTAGGTGAAGTTCCTGTCTTTTTATTTTATAGGAAAGGGAGATGTCTGTTATCCCCTTTCTTCACTGCCACTGGACACACATGCCACTTTCCTGCCCTTCTACATATGCTGCCTCTCTTCCCTCTCTCCATCTTGAAGTCTCCACCCAGGAGAGACCTGTGAGGTGTGGGAATTCCATGTTTGCACAGCTCCCATCTCCCTGGAAAGAGGAACTGATGTTTGAGGGGACAGATGTGGGTCACTTTCCCTGGCAGTGCCCTCTAGCCTTGCTGCCTTGGCTTTCTGACCCCTTCCAGGCTTCAGGGGCCTGGGAGATCTCATGCCTCAGCCCAGGAAACATTTAATAGGGAAAGCAGAGACATGTCATGTCAGCCCCACAGACAAGAATTTCTAGAGCACTTGTCCTGTTGTTCCTTGCCCCGACATTACTCAGTCTGGGCCATGGAATCCATCCAATAAACACAGCAACACCCTATGCTACTGACCAAGCAAAGCTTGCCCCTGGTACCAAAGAGCTAAATCATGACCAAAGTGTGACATGAATGTAACTGAAATGCGGGTTAGTTGCTCAATGTATGCAAAGTCCCACGGACAAGAGTAAAGTCTGATACCAATAAAGTGAATGTATTCCAAAGCTAGCTTGGAGGAGGGGCACACAACGTCCTGCCTTTCAATGTGCCGCTTCCCCTTTGGAGCAGAAAGCAGGCACTTTTATAAGGTAAGGGAGCAAGTGAGCAAGGGTCCGCCTGATAGCATGGTGCCTTATCTACTGGACAGTTGAGTCGGGCCTTCCTGGGCAAAAATAAATTTTAAAAGTGGCCAAGTAGGCATACTTTAGATATAACCTCCTAGTGAATGAAAGTCCTGAGGCAGCCCCTGGAGGGTGGGAGTTCCAAGGCAACCCCTGGAGGTGAAAGCTCAAGGAGGGCATGTTTTGGTCTGCAAATTGGCAGTCAATTCTGGAGGACTATTTTGGAGCAGAGAGATGAACTTGCCCTGTAGGGAATGTCTAGTGAAGGGGAGATGAAAGCTTATATTTGCATTTCCCTTTTTTTGAGACAGTCTCACTCTGTCGCACAGGCTGGAGTGTAGTGGCATGATCCCAGCTCACTGCCACCTCTGCCTCCCAGGTTCAAGCCATTCTTGTGCCTCAGCCTCCCAAGTAGCTGGGACTACAGGTACTCCACCACCACGCCTGGCTAATTTTTTTTTTTTTTTTTTACTTTTAGTGAAAACAGGGTTTCACCATGTTGGCCAGGCTGGTCTTGAATTTCTGACCTCAAGTGATCTGTCCACCTCAGCCTCCCAAAGTGCTGGGATTACAGGCATAGGCGAGAGCCACTGCGCCAGGCCTATATTTGCATTTCTAAAGGGCTACCTAGGAAGTTGGGAATCCAGGAAATGGAAAAAAGAAGAGAGGAAGAAAAAAACAGCTCTTAGAAAACTGGGGTGCTCATTTACATGAATATTTCCAGATGACACCACTGAACCATAGCAGGGCATGGGCCTTGGTTTGCAGAGTGATGAGTGGTTGCCCTGAGTCATCCCCACTTCCATTTGGTTCCAAAACCTGTATTTATGAGTTAACTCATCAGAATCTGCTGAATGACCTGAAGAGAATAGGCTTGTTTATTCTTCCTATGTGATGCTGTCTGGAGTCTATACATCCTCAATCCTTTATTTAATTTCTCCATCCATTCATCCATCGATCTTTTTTATATTCAAAAGATGCTGAGCACCTCTTACAGAAAACATCCTGAGGGAGAATATAGAGATTCATTCCTTGAGTCATTCAAAAACACTCAATATAAAGTCTACCTGAGTGTAGAGACAATTCTATATGGATCAAAGAGCTCACAGCCTAGTAGAGGGGATGAGGCACTTATGCAAACACTGATAATACGGTGAGGGAACATGAAAGGGGGATGCTCAAGAAAGTCAGAAATGGCTTCAAACTGGGGAGGAGGTGGTCAGAGAAAGCCTGTAGCAGGATGGGCACTGGAACTGAGAAACCGTCTGGGGCCAACCTCTTGGGCCTGTTTTCTTCCTTCCTGATCTAAGGAAGACAGGCAGAATTTTTACATAAAACACAACACAGAGCATTCTCAGCCCACTAAATCATGACAGACTGAGAACCACTGAAGTATTTGTGGAAAAGCATGATTAGAATTTTGCCTCTGGGGACTGTGCTGTTTTTTCATAGGCCATTTTCAAGTGAAAATTGTATCAGTATCTTTAAAGTTGAAATGTTAAGTGCCTGGAGGGAAAGAAAAATGGTGATGGAAGAATGTCAGTTATCCCGGCCGAGTGATGAGTACACTAGGGGCACGTCACGGGCACAGACTCCTCATTAGTGCTGTTTACCACAGGTCGGTTCTCCTGTCCCCGGGTTAATGGGAGGACTTTGGTTTTCTCCCTTTGAAGTAAGCGAGCTGTGTGACTTGCTTTGGCTCATGAAGTAGGTGTGTAAGCAACATGTCTCTTCCTCGCAGAGACAAATGTACAATTTGCCACATTCTACTTTTCCTGCCTCTCCAGGAATGTGTGTGGGAGTGAGTGTGAAAATGGAGCCTAAGTCCTGGGTCATGCTAAAACCCCTTCCCGACCTACACTGGACAGATGCCATGAATAAGACATAAACTCCATCATTTTACTGTTAAACCATGGATAGTCATGGGGCTGTTACCTGACATAGCCTATACCATCATGACCAGAGACCTGGTAAGTCTGTCAATAGTTTAGCCCATGAAGCAAGTGAAAAGCAAAGAAAGTTTCTTGGAAACCAAGTTCCTGCCTTCCTAAGAACTGAGGTTGGCCAGGTGCAGTGGCTCATGCCTGTAATCCCAGCACTTTGGGAGGCCGAGGTGGGTGGATCACGAGGTCAGGAGTTCAAGACCAGCCTGGCCAATATGGTGAAACCCCATCTCTACTAAAAATACAAAAATTAGCCGAGCATGGTGGTGCGTGCCTGTAGTCCCAGCTCCTCATGAGGCTGAGGCAGAATAATCGCTTGAACCTGGGAGGCGGAGGCTGCAGTGAGGCGAGATTACATCACTGCACTCCAGCCTGGGCGATAGAGTGAAACTCCGTCTCAAAGAAAAAAAAAAAAAAAAAAGAACTGAGGTCACTGGAAGCTGAAGGGATGGGTGATTCACATAAAGCCCTTCAGTGTCTGAGTTGTATTCTGCCATATCCTAGCTCCACCCTTCAGTGTGACTTTTTAAGTTAGAGAACTTCCCACTTACAGTGTCAAATGAGAACAGGACTTGCCTTCTCTCTTCAGGAATGTAGGTACTGGGGATTGACTGGGTATTTGTCTGCCTAGGGTTACACAGGGAGATATCCAGGTTGGAAAGAGTAAAACTACAATTCCCAGACTCCCTTGCAGCCAGGTTCAGGATGTGATTTTAGGTCCCGCCAACCAGATATACTTGTGGGAGACTGTGCTGTAGTAGATCATGCCAGAGGTGGACCCAGCAGCTATACAGCTGTAACAGCAGCTCTCTGGCTTTGCAGCTTCCTATACTTGCTCAAGAAGCTGGAAGTCTTGTTTGTGAGGTTGGAGAAACAATGGCAACACTGGTAGCACCGTAAGCAACCATCTGCCACTTTGTGTTTGCCCACCTACCTATGGTGCCTGAGCACTGCTGCCATGTACAGATTGCACAGAGGGGACCTAGGCTGCAGCAGGAGAGGCTTCATGGAGGGTGTGTGTGTGTGTGTGTTTGTGCATCTCTATGTGTGTTTGGGTCAGGTTGGGACACTACACAGAGGTGGTTTTTTGCAAGATAATTGAAGATAGGAGAGGACATGACAGCGTTTCTCAGAAAGAATGCTGCGGGGGAATTTTCAAAGCAAGAATCCCTTCCTAAGAATTAATTGGGATGAATATGTGCATGTTAGACAGTTGAGGCTATAAAATAAGGACATGTCAGAAGTAGCAGTTCTATGTCCTTCCCTTAGAATTTCATGAGGTGTAGGGTACCCTTCCCCACCCCAGGGCGCATCACTGAAGTGTAGTGGTGGCAGCCATGGCCTGAGGGCAGGTCAGCACAGAAAAACACCAACTCCACAGAGAGAGTCTGGCGGGAGCAGGTGCATGGGCATCTGGTGACCTGAGTTCCTCCAACAGAACAAGCCATGGGGCCTCTTTGTGCCTCTGTTTATTCTTTCCCCAAGTGGGGTCACTTCAGACATTTGGAGATATGAGGCAACAAGGAGATGGGAAAGTTCACCAACAATGTAAACACTCTACATGAGAGAGTTTTGTTGCCAATGTGCTAGAAGAGGCATGCTTCAGGGAAGAGGTGAGAATCCTATACATGGGAAGGAAGGAAAGAATCAAGCCCTGTAAAAGTACAAAGGAAAAAGAGACTAGAAGAGATGTGGAGTTGGGGGATCCTGCCAAGGATCTGAGTGCAGCAATGTTTACAGTGTTGAATACTTGAAAGGTGCCCAGGGGCCTGGAGATGACCTGTGGGGAACCTGCAGCCCTAGCCTACTGTGGCCACTGCCTCCTAGGTAAATGCATATCCCAAAGTCCCTGCCTGCCTTCCCAGCCATCATGATCTGGTGCTGACAAGGGGCTGTGGACACTCAAGGGGCACTCACTGGGGTGGGTTTGGGTATATTGCGGCATGACAGTCTGGTTACGATGCAGACCACCTGAGAACTCCAAGGCTGACAGCAGATCCTCCAGTGTGTTGAACGCCTGACTCTAATGGCAAATGTTTCTCTTCATTTGCAAAGTGTCAGGATCACACTATGTTGTAAAGTTTTCTTTTCTGACAGCCAGTGCTTTTTTATAGCATTTCTTAAACCTCCTTGAAGACAAGGAGCTAAGGCAGTGGCAAATGCCAGATCATTATGGAAAGGAGGGGACCCATTACTGCATCTCAGTCCCATCACAGGGCAGAACTAGGATTTGGTTCACCTTTGAAAGAATCTCAAGCTTAGTGGCATCATAACATTGGTGAAATCTGACTTCAGTCCAGGTTTCCTTTCTCACAGGCCACCCCCTCCTGTTCTCCTGCCCATCCAGGCCCAGCTCAGGATGCCAGAGGACCACCCCTCTCCTGACTGGGCATTCTGTCCTCTCTAGGCCACTAATACATGCATACGTGCATGTGCATGCATGCATACACACACACACACACACACACACACACACACACACACACACAGAGTCTCTCTCTCTCTGTCTCTGTCTCTCCCTCTCTCACACACACACTCTCCATTCCCATCATCCATGTCTGCTCCATCCTACAGGGCTGAGTTTTGCTATGGAACAGCTGGCTGATCTGAAGAACTAAGAGGCTGTATGTGTGACCATGGGGTCAGATGCTGCAGCCCTGACTCTGGTCATGGATATGAGTCTAACAGGAGCCTCCTAAGCCCAGTGAGAGGGGTTCCTGTTAGTCTGGCAAGGAAAGCAGCAAGAGAGGAGTGTCAGGCAGGTATCTGGACCTGACACCACGTGGGCACCTGCTTATATGTGGAATTCCCCTCCAGATCATCTCTGCTTCCTAAATGTCTCCACAGCTTTCTTGGCCATACAAGGCAATTCCCCTCATTCCAGAAAAGCCTAGTCTTCAGGAATATGCAATGGAATGAAAAGATATAACTCACTGCAAAGAACTCAGCTGGTGCTTCTTGCCCTGCGCAGAGTAACTGTTTCAGCCTCAAGCAGCTGCAGCTTATCCTCTTGATACCCTGGTGCATCCAAGAGCCACAGGAATTGAGGCCTGAGATAACGATAGCGTTGAACTCTTCAGCGACATTTCCTGGAACTTCTTGAGATGAAGAGAAAACAAGAAAACTAACTCTGAGCTATAGCACTTGGCCAGATGTTATTTATCAGCCCTGGGGATTTACTTAATGTCTAGTCTGTAATCCTGGTTTAGTGGTCTGTGTGAAAGAAGTCCTCTTCATGCACCAAGGATTTCAATCAGGCTAATGACTAGAAAATGACAAAAATCCTCAAGCTAGGATTCTCCAAGACCCAGTGCAAATATCTCCTCCAAGCAAATGTGACACCCCACTCCCACCATCCCTGCCATCTGCAAACCCCTACAGCTTTGGAAGTGCCACCTGCCTGATGCCACCTTATAACACTGTCACTTGCACACTTGTTTAATTCCACCTATCTAGATAATAAGCTTCTTAGGGGCACAGAATATGCTTCGCACAGAGCAATACATACCCTGCTACTTCCCTAGCTCCCCTTTGAGTGGTAAAGGACTTATTCATCCAGCTGCTCCACTTCAAGCTGTCTCCAGAAATTTCCCTCACCTGCAGAGTTCTGCCTCCTCACTGCTTATGTCACACCCCATTCCCAGGGGCAGCTGTACCCAATGACTGATCAATGAGGGCATATGAAGGTCTGGCCCCCTTGCCCCAACCTGGAACAGTTCTGAAGGGACATCCCAGCTTCAGAACTCCTTATAGGGTCAGCTGAGCCTTTGTGATTGCATTAGAGCCCAACTGCTCCCTCTGCCCAATCTTGCTTCTCTTCCTTCCCAAGTGTAAAGCCAAAGCCACTCTCTAATAAACGTTTTGCATGATGAACTCCATCTCAGAGTCTGCTTCCCAGGGAACATGACCTGCAACACTGTCTATGCTCAATAAATACTTGTTGGCATTAATGAACAATCAATTGCTCGATGACAAATCCAATCAGAGGATGGCCTGCTGGGGATTACTTAGCTGACCATGTGAATAGGTGCAGTGGTCTTGCCAGAAAATATGTACCACATGGCACCAGATCCTTGGCAGGCCACTTTGAATCACTGGGAGAAGATGGAGCCATGGAATGTGCAGGACTTCTCCTGTGAAAGTGGCCCCAAAGTTACCCCTTGGGCAGCTCCAGCCAGAGGGTCATTCTTACAGAATGATGAGAAGGACCACAGGGCTCATTCTGTGCAGAATGAGACCATTGCTCAGATTGTTCCACCTGTAGTTTCTTATTTTCTTAGAAAAGGCAAATCTCGCCTGTTATAGGACATGCCACAGCTCAGAGAGACAGAAGTTGGCAGATGAGAGAGAAGGCATCCTTTCCTGAGGTGCAGCTCCAGCCCCAGCTTTACATAAAGCAAGCATTCAAGGGAGGGACACTTCCTTAGAAATGAAATTGATGAAGATACTGCCCTTAAGCAGCAGCCTAGAACAACTGCATATAAAAACTGAGACTTTCTAACATTCAATCTAAAAGCCCTAATGACAAGGATGAGACAGTTTCAATTGCAGACTTGTAGGATACAAAAGATCAGTGGATGACAAAGAACGATGACAACAAAAGACCTGAGGGGGGTCAGGATACCCACAGCTGGTTTCAAAATCAAAGTGACTATGGATTGGCAGCAGGCCTGGAACACTGCTGGTGATAGGAGTCGGAGAGCAGTGCGGTTTCCATGACCAGTTGTCAGTGTCTTTCCTGGCACATACCCGGGGAACTGTGGCGCATTCACCTCAAGACTAAGGTTTCACCAGTTCCTCAGTGAAGAGGAGTCAAATTTAATATCAAACCCATATTGTATCTTATATATAGTTTATTATATACATAAATACATGCTATAAATAGTTAACAGTTTAGTAAACCACAAAGATCTTATTCCATATCCTCAATCACTTTACCATCTTTGAAAGGTCTTGAGAAAAAGAATTCTCTGCAGATACTTTTAAATGAATAACAACCTGGCCATAGTGAATTCCAACTGGTCTTCGTGGTGAGGATCCTAGCGGTTGGAGTTTGTAAGCAACACCCCTCACAGAATATGCCTTTGGAAATCTGTTCCTGATTGTGTACGGCTAGGCTACAAGACCTCAGGATCTGGGGGCCGAACACGACCCAGGAAATCATCATGTCCCCCCAAATCTCAGACAGTCACTGATGAAGTTGATGAAGTTCTGTCTCCTTGTGACGGTCCTTGGCCACTCACATGTCCAGACCAATTACTTCTGGATGCAGTATCTTCCAGCAATGACTGTCTAGTCGTTATAATATTATGCCTTTGAAACATGCACAAAGAATTGCATCTGAAAAGCAGTTAGTCATTATATATTTGTCAAAACCCACAGAATGTACAACACTAAGAGTGAACCCTAGGGTAAACTGTGGCTTTGGGTGACAGTGATGTGTTAGTGTAGATTCTATTGCAACAAATGTGCTTTCTGGAGCGGGATGTTGATAATGAGGAAAGTTGTGTGGGGTGGGGTACAAGGGATATATGGGAACTCACTGTACTTTCTGTTCAACTTTGCTGTGAACCTAAAATTGCTTTAAAAAGTAATGTTTGTTGGCCAGGTGTGGTGGCTCACGCCTGTAATCCCAGCACTTTGGGAGGCTGAGGCAGGGGGATCACCTGAGGTCAAGAGTTCCAGACCAGCCTGGCCAACATGGTGAAACCCCGCCACTACTAAAAGTACAAAAATCAGCAGGGCATGGTGGCAGGTGCCTGTAATCTCAGCTACTTGGGAGGCTGGGGCAGGAGAATTGCTGGAACTTAGGAGGCAGAGGTTGCAGTGAGCTGAAATCGTGCCATTGCACTCCAGCCTGGGCCGACAACAGCAAGACTCAGTCTCAAAAAAAAAAATTTTTTTTTTAAATTATGTTTATTAATTAAAAAAAGAAAGAAATCATGGTCCTTTCTGTCTGTACAGGTGGACTTCAATGTCTATATGTAGCAGTAAAGGAAATACTGTCTGGCATGAGCTCTGGGTCACTGGAGTTGGGCACTCTGGCTCCTTCTTTCCCATCAAAATAAAATTAAAAAATAATAAAATCAATGACTGCTGGATATCATGGTGAGAGTTTCATGTTTTGAGCTGGGGTTTGGGGCCTGATTATTTTATTAATTATCTGCTCATCTGGGGAGCCCTTGGTTTCCTTTCCTGTGAGCCCCTTCTCTGCAACCCACATCGGTTCTCTTGTTCAGAACTACCTTCCATCATGGCTAAGCTTTGAGATCATCATGTCCTATCATTTCCTTTTGTTGTTGGTCTCATTCAATCCATGTATGGAAAAAAATAACCCAGGATGACTTATTGTGGAAAGAAAGGGAGATAAGTCACGAGAAGGGAAAGATATTTTTTTCTTCGAAGCTCAGGAAATGCAACTCTTTAGATAAGTTTTTTGTTGTTGTTTTTGTTTTTTTAATGAACACCTTAATTTTCTTCCAATGCAAAAATGAAATATCCTTTGAAAGCCGAATGTATCATTCATGTGGCCCAAACCACAGTCATTTTTTTTTAGATAAAAAGGGCATATTTGTGATGGGGGAAAGATGATCAGTTTCAGTGCACCCTCCCATCACTGTGAGCATTAATTAAGCAAGGATAAAAAGCAAAATAATCTCCCAGTGCCCTTCCTCTGACTCTTCCCGCTGCCTGCAATGGTTTCATATGAAGTTATTTCAGTTATTGTACTTTCTGGCCCTAATCCAGCTTTTTTTTGGCCAAAGTATTGGGAACACTGCAGTGTCTACAGGGCTTCAGCATCCACAAGCGTGTGTGTGTGTGTGTGTGTGTGTGTGTGTGTGTGTTTGTGTGTGTGTGAAAAGAGAGAGAGAGAAACTCTGTGCATTTGTGTGTGTGCTTGCTTATGTGATAACTGTTTTTGTTCCATTTCTTTAGCAGTGCAACAGTTTTAAAGAGCACCTGAGAACGACTTTGCAAACCATACCTTACCACAACCTTCCTATCCTGTTTCTATTAAGCAATTCCAGTTTTGGAAAGAAGACATTGAAAAGTGCCTCTGCTTGAGCAATTCAAAGATTCTGGACAATGTTTGCATATTATTAAACAGTCCTCTCTCAAGGCCACCAAGCCCATTACCAGTGCCTCTGCAGCTTATCACCTGGGCAGGTTATTGAACCCTTCTTTGAACCACATCTGTAAAATACAGGAAATTGAAGCCACTGTCACAGGGTTCTCATGAGAATAAAGTGAAACAATGTCTGTAATGGACCTAGCACAGACAAGGTGCTCAATACATTACAATTGCCTTCCTCCCTTTCACCCCTTTGCAGCACTTGGGCAAAGGCATGGCACTATCCCCTTTCCTCCTGATGTTGCCTGCCAAAAACCTCCAGCAGAAGGCAGGTAGGACACAAGCCCACTCTGATTGGTAGCACATTCCCCTCTTTTCAGCCCTGTCACAAGTCCACAGTGACCTCTCCCTTTCCTGAACTTGATGGTACCCACAAATGCAACACCAAATAACATGCAACTGAGCACTTATTAAGGGTTCAAGTGTCTTTTGTCTGCCAACAAGGCTGTAAGCTAACAGAGGGCAGCCTTATGTTTCCTAGTCCTGTCATTTCCTCCCAACTGCCTAGGCTAATCATAGGCGATCTGCTGGTGTTTGGCGCTGGACGTGTCAGCACAGGCCCAGCAAGTGGGGTCCTAAGGGCAGCAACCTACAAAGCCTCCAGCCTTGCCCGGCTGTGCCGGTCACACACCAGAGCTGGTGAGTCTGAGATTTGGCCTTGCAGCCACGGGAGAGTCCTCAAACCTTCCCAACACGCCAAACTTCTGCCCCCTCTGCCTGCTGAAGTTGAGTCATGCAAATGGCGACAAGGACAACCCTTGAAAGGCAAAAGTGTGCCTGATGTCAACAGTTCATTTGGAGCTCCCCTATGCTTAACGGACACCCAGAGACCTCACAAAACCTCAACTTCTGTTACCATCACTTACTCCAGAGCATGGTGAAATGTACCTCCTTGAATACTGAAGCCTTCTATTTTGCTTTCCTGAACTCTTGGTATTACTGGGACAACATTACACCATCAATTCGAGAGGTTTCTTGCAACATGTTCCAGCTACACGGGAGAGTGAGGTGAGAGGATTGTTTGAGGCCAGTTCCAGCTACACGGGAGGGTGAGATGAGAGATTTTTTGAGCCCAGAAGTCTGAGGTTACAGTGTGCTGTGGTCATGCCATTGCACTCCAGCCTGGGTAACAGTGTGAGGCCCTGCAAGTTAACAATGAGTTAACATAAATATTTATTGGATGGATGAATGAATGAATGAATGAATATGGGATTGCTTAGATCAGTCAGACCTGTGGAGAACCTTAACATCAGTCAGTGCTAACAATGTGGGTATAAAAACCAGGCCAAGCAGTCGCAAGTTCAAGAGCCCAGGGGAGTGGAAATTTGAAGTGGCCCAGTCAGTGGGCATGAAGAGAGGCAAAGTGTCAGGGCCCCAGGTATGAAGCACCAGCCATAGAGGGGGCTTGACAATGGAGAAAACACCATCACCAGTGAGAAACCTCTTGTGTCGGGGAGGTAGAATCATCCAGAAGAAAATGCTTATTTTATAAAGTCAGTAGGCCTAATTTGGAAGCCCAAATAAACCATGTAGTAGCCTTGGTTGATTAAATATCAGGTATTTTTTTAACCTATAAAATAAAGGTAATATTACCAGAACTTGTATGAGTATTAAAGTTACTAATGATTGCTAACATGTGTTAAGTACTTAATATATACCAGGTGAAGTCCTTCACATGCATTTCATCTGGACACCAGAACAACCCTCTAAAGTCAGCACGATTATCATAACTCCCATTTTACAGAAAAGAAACTTAAAGGGTAAAGCTGAGATGAGGTGCAAGAGATGAAGTTACTTGCCCAAGGTTGCCATCCAATAAATGGCAGATCTAGGATTAGCAATAAGAAGTCTTTGCAAGAGTCATTGCTCTTGTGTATATCTTGTTCTTTCATCTCTAATAAAGACTTTTTAAGGATAGAGACGTATGTTTTACTGACTTTATATTCAACTCTAAAGCCTATAAAACATTCATCCAAAAAAATGCTAAAAAAGGGAAGGAAGAAATTTTTTTTGTTTGTTTTTGTTTTTGATTTTTGAGACAGAGTCTCACTCTTGTTGCCAGGCTGGAGTGCAATGGCGCGATCTTGGCTCACCACAACCTCTGCCTCCCAGGTTCAAGTGATTCTCCTGCCTCGGCCTCCCAAGTAGCTGGGATTACAGGCATGCGCCACCACGCCCAGCTATTTTTGTATTTTTAGTAGAGACAGGGTTTCTCCATGTTGGTCAGGCTGGTCTCGAACTCCCGACCTCAGGTGATCCACCCAAGAAATTTGTTTTAATAAAGGAGCCAAGGACACAAAATCTTTAAGGAAATAATAAAAATTTGGAATATGTAAAATACGAGATTATTTACATGCAGCTCCACTAGAGACCAGAAGAATAAACAAATTATTCTTCACAGTCCTTTCTAGACATGTGACACTGAATACTAAAAACAGCTTAAATATTCAAGCTGTTGACCTTGTTCGTGTCTGAAATTCATGTGATCTATCTGTTCATTAGTTGCTTATCATCACGGGCTCACTATCATGCCACACGCTGCCCCTTAATTGCAATGGAAAGATGAATGAATCTGTGATGAGTGAAAAGATTTTTATCAGCTAGAAGATTTTTTTTCCCACATTAACGATGTTCCCAGGACTTCACTAGTTGGTTCTTATCTGTTCCCATCAAGGTCATAACTGCTCTGTGATGACCTGTGTGATTAGGAACTTGTTGATCACCTACTGGGGGATAAAGGTGGCACAAAGTCAGGTGAGGATAAGAGCCTTCTCAACCCAATGTAAGGCCAAGAACACTTCTCCCAAGTCAAAAATGGGATATTTCCAAAAGCTGAGTAATGAATTCTTGCGTAAGGTATAGCCAGATTTACCACTGTGCCCTTCAGTGGAAATACTCCTTTCCCAGGTTAGATCACGTATCCTCCTGAAAATTTACTTCTGATTGCAGCTATACCTCAAAAGTTGTGCACTCAAACCAAGGGTGGCCCACTCTTTTAAAAACCTGTTAAAGTAAAACCTCTTTAGATGGAGCACATACTGTCTGGTTCACTCCATCTCCATTCTAGCTTCCTAAGAGGTTGCATTGCCCACCTGACTCTTGTAGGCTTTTCCTACAGGAAAAATCAGTGAAAGCACAGACCTAAGACCTGGGCCCTGAGGGGTGTCCCAAATGGACAGAGACAGCAGAGGCAGGGTTTACTTCCTAGATCTGAGACAGAGAAATAGCAGCTTTAGAGATGGAAGGAGAAAATATGGTCCCAGAACCCAGTAGTGCTAAATGCAATGGAAACATTATCAAGAGGGAGGGCAAGTGAAGTTTGGTAGGAGAAAGTTTAGGAGTCCTCTAGAAGGTGAGGGACATAGTGAGAGCATGGACTACACTTGGAAGAAGTTTAGGAGTCCATAGATGAAAAAGAATTAATAGGAGCTCAAGGGAAGCAGAATTGGTTAACAAAGAGGTGACATGGGAATGTTCACAGGTTAAGAAGGAGTCGGTGGAGGAAAAGACCTTTACGGTGACCAACTGTCCTAATGCCCATATTGGGGGTTTCCTGGGTCATGGGACTTTCAGTGCTTATGTCAGAGGCGTGTGAACCAGAGCAACTCCATGTTAAATAGGAGCTGGGTAAAATCAGGCTGAAACCTACTGGGCTACATTCCCAGACAGTTAAGGCATTCTAAGTCACAGGATGAGATAGGAGGTCAGCACAAAATACAGGTCATAAAGACCTTGCTGATAAAACAGCTTGCAATAAAGGAGCCAGTCAAAACCCACCAAAACCAAGATGGCGACGAGAGTGACCTCTGGTTGTCTTCACTGCTACACTCCCACCAGTATCATGACAGTTTACAAATGCCATGGCAACATCAGTAAGTTGCCCTATATGTTCTAAAAATGGGAAGCATGAATAATTCACCCGTTGTTTAGCATATTATCAAAAAATAACTGTAAAAATGAGCAACCAGCAGCCCTAGGGCCTGCTCTGTCTATGGAGTAGCCATTCTTTTATTCCTTTACTTTCTTAATAAACTCGCTTTCACTTTGCACTGAAGACTTGCCCTGAGTTCTTTCTTGCATGAGATCCAAGAACCCTCTCTTGGGTTCTGGATGGGAAACCCTTTCCTGTAACACTTAGACCAGTAAAGTCCCAGGCAAACTGCAATGAGTGAGTCATCACTACAAAACACAAAGGGGACAGGGAGAGGATGGAGTGAGATAATTACAGGATCCTGGAGAAGGTTAACCTGGGAAAGGAAGACAGATATTTTTATATGCCAATTTTTATGACACTGAGAAGTAATATCTTGGCACACAAAGGACAGATAGGTTTATAAATCACAGAAACACGCTCTCAGTAGCTCAATTAGCTTGGTGCAAGATTAAACTCTTGGTCTCTCTCTGCTGTGTAGAGCCTTCTGATCACTGACCTTCAGCTGTCTGTCCTCCAGCTTAGGTCAGGCCATCACTCTGTTAGACCTCAGCCCTGACAAATACTTTGTAAAGCCAAGGCCACAGGCTGGTCTTCTGCTTTGGCTCAAAACACTTTCCCAAATGCTACAAAATCCCCTAAAGCCTACCCACAGAAATTCCCAGAACTTGCCTCTCCTCCAAGGTCCTCCCAAGCATCTTCTGACTGTGTTTCTTACTCTTCCTAACAGGTAACAGTGTTAGTACATTCATTACCACCAATTCACAGGTGGCTGCCAGCTCCTGACAATGCCCTTTTCTAAAACCTCAAGTCCTCAAGAGGGCTCCCCAGGGCCTTGGGAGGAAGCAGCCCGGTCTGCAGTATGTGCCATTGTGTGCCCCATCTTTCTCCCTGTTAGATATGAGTTCTAAGTTTCTTTTCAAAGAATCAATATGTCAGTATGTTCAATTCTTTGCCTTCTACTTTTAAACTTAACTTCCTCATAAAGCAACCTTTTTCGATTACCTGCTCCACCCTGACTCATTCTGATTACCTGCTCCACCTGACTCATTCCGATTACCTGCTCCACCCTGACTCATTCCGATTACCTGCTCCACCTGACTCATTCTGATTACCTGCTCCACCTGACTCATTCCGATTACCTGCTCTGTCATAACCATTTTTCCTGCCAAACCACTCACCCTGTCACTCTCTTTAAATTAGCCAATCAGAATTATTTTAGCCTGTGCAGTCTAACCCTAACCAGTAGGGGAACGACACAGCAGCAGGGGCCACGTGTGTCAGGGATAAGAACCCCTTCCCCTCCCTTGTCCAAGTGTGCACTCACCATTGCTCCATCTGTAAGGGTGCATCCTTCTATAGAAGTAACTTGCCTTGCTGAGAATTAAAAAGAGAATTTTGTATTCAAGTACAATTTCTTTTGTGGCATCAAAACTTTATTTATAACATCCCCTCCCACCCAGCCACTTCCCAGTAGAGCTCACATTCTCAAATCCCTTTGATGCCTCATCCTACCCAGCCTCCCCCCATCCTGGACCCACTTTTTGTAACAGTGATTTCTCAGGAGAAGTGCTGAGGCACACAATTTCTTTTTAGAACATCTTTTCTGAGTTTAGGAAATTCTCCAAACCTGGAAATGCCTCTCCCCTTTCAGTCAGGAGTTAGAAACGAAAAGGCATCTTGAAAAGATAAAATCAGAGGACCAGTGGATGGCTCCTGGCGCTGCTGCTATTAGCCCTGTGACTCTGAGTAGGTAACTTGAGAACTCTGAGTCTCCATCCCCTCATCTGTAAAACAGGCATTGCTGTGATCTGAATGTTTGTGTCCCCCCAGAATTCATATGTTGAAACCTAATCACCAATGTGATGGTATTAGGAGGTGGGGCCTTTGGGAGGTGATTAGGCCATGAGGGTGGAGCCCTCACTAATGGGATTAGTGTTCTTATAACAGAGGCCCAGAGAGCTGCCTGGCCCCTTCCACCATGTGAGGACTATCAACCAGGAAATGGGCCTTCACCAGGCACTGAATATGCCAGTGCCTTCTTCTTGGACTACCCAG
The DNA here is from genome assembly GCF_000001405.40 of Homo sapiens. Lineage (NCBI taxonomy): Eukaryota > Metazoa > Chordata > Mammalia > Primates > Hominidae > Homo > Homo sapiens. The sequence continues at coordinate 31,284,629 of NC_000002.12, forward strand.
TCTCCAGAAATGTGAGAAATAAATTTATGTTATTTATAAGCCATCTAGTCGATGGTATTTTGTTATAGCAACCCAAATGGACTATTGAGAGACAGGACTAGCTGGATTTCCTAGGCCGACTAAGAATTCCTAAGCCTAGCTGGGGAAGGGGACTGCACCCACCTTTAAATACGGGGCTTGTTACTCAGCTCACACCTGACCAGTCAGGTAGTAAAGAGAGCTCACTAAAATACCCATTAGGCTAAAAGCAGGAGGTAAAGAAATAGTCAACCATCTATCACCTGAGAGCACAGGGGGAGGGACAATGATCAGGATATAAACCCAGGCATTCGAACCAGCGGTGGCAACCCCCTTTGGGTCCCCTCCCGTTGTATGGGAGCTCTGTTTTCACTCTATTAAATCTTGCAGCTGCACACTCTTCTGGTCCGTGTTTGTTCTGGCTCAAGCTGAGCTTTTGCTCACCGTCCACCACTGCTGATTGCCGCTGTCGCAGACCCGCCGCTAACTTCCACCCCTCCGGATCCAGCAGGGTGTACGCTGCGCTTCTGATCAGCAAGGCGCCCATCCATTGCCGTTCCCTATCGGGCTAGAGGTTCGCTATTGTTCCTGCATGGCTAAGTGCCCGGGTTTGTCCTAATCAAGCTGAACACTAGTCACTGGGTTCCACGGTTCTCTTCCCTGACCCACGGCTTCTAATAGAGCTGTAATACTCACCGCATGGGCCAAGGTTCCATTCCTTGGAATCCGTGAGGCCAAGAACCCCAGGTCAGAGAGCAAAAGGCTTGCCGCCATCTTGGGAGCTCTAAGAACAAAGACCCACTGGTAACACTATGACAGGTATATAACAGGTATATATAAGTGTTAGCCTACTTATCAAATTAGAAGGGATAAATAAAAACAGATTGTCAATTCTCAGGCCCATTCTAAGAATTCTTATGTCCATTCTATAAGTAAGTTAGCAGCACCAAAAGTAACAATGAGGTGGGGTGCAGTGGCTCACAACTAGCACTTTGGGAGGCCAAGGTGGGAGGACAGCTTGAGGCCAAGAGTTTGAGACTAGCCTGGACAACATAGCAAGATCCCGTCTCTATGAAATTTTTAAAAATAGCCAGGCATGGTGGTGCACACCTGCATTTCCAGCTACACGGGAGGATGAAGTGAGAGGATTGTTTGAGCCCAGAAGTCTGAGGTTACAGTATGCTGTGGTCATGCCATTGCACTCCAGCCTGGGCAGCAGAGTGAGGCCCTGCAAGTTAACAATGAGTTAACATAAATATTTCTTGGATGGATGAATAAATGAATGAATGAATATGGGATTGCTCAGGTCAGTCAGACCTGTGGAGAACCTTAATATCAGTCAGGGCTAACAATGTGGGTATAAAAATCAGGCCAAGAAGTCACAAGTTCAAGAGCCCATGGTGGTGGAAATTTGAAGTGACTCAGTCAGCAGGCATGAAGAGAGGCAAAGTGTCGGGGTACCAGGTATGAAGCACCAGCCATAGAGGAGGCTTGACAATGGAGAAAACACCATCGCCAGTGACAAACCTCTTGAATAGGAAGGAAAGGCCAGGGTGAAGGGGCATGGTAAGCATCCTAGAATCACATACACAGGGGTTGTTGGCACCAGAAGAGGATACATGAACCATTTTGTCTGAAGATTCAAACTCAAATGGAAACAAGTGAAGTAGATGGCTCTAAGCCAACAAGCCACGCTGGACTGGTAGAACAGGAGATCGCATGCCCTGGTAGATAAAGGCATTCAAAAATCAGCTACAGACAAAATCTTTTGCCAGCCAAATAAAATAAAGATGAAGAAACCGGTTCAGAAGTACAAGTGCCTGCCAGTTAATGACAGCCCTGTTATTGGAAGCTAGGTCTTCTGACTCCTAAGCAAGACATTGTCAAGACAATGAGGGAGGAAGCAGGGTTTGTGGAGGAGCCAGCTCCAACACAGATCGGCCCTTGAGCCTCAGAGGTGGGCCTCTGAGCACTTTCAGAACCAGCTTTGTTCTAATGCAGATTCCAAAGAAAGGAATCTTTTTTTTTTTTTTTTTTTTTTTGAGACAGAGTTTCACTCTTGTTGCCCAGGCTGGAGTGCAATGGCGCTACCTCGGCTCACTGCAACCTCCACCTCTGGGGTTCAAGTGATTTCCTGCCTCAGCCTCCCTAGTACTTGGGATTACAGCTTTTTTTTTTTTTTTTTTTTTTGTATTTTTAGTAGAGACGGGGTTTCACTACATTGATCAGGCTGGTCTCGAACCCCTGACTTCAGGCAATCCACATGCCTCGGCCTCCCAAAGGGCTGAGATTACAGACGTGAGCCACCGCGCCTGGCTAGGAATCTTATAAAAAGGAATGGGAGATGAAAGCCCAAAGTCGTGGAACCAACAGAAGGATGTAACTCCCAATAGGTAATTAGAAAGAGAGAGACAGAGAGAAAGAGAGAGACTAGCTCTCAGTGACACCCAACAATCAGTCCCTCAGCATTTTTGTGAAATTTGTCATCTCCGGTGTGGTGAACACTAGAAATAATCAGAAGACCACATGGGAACAGGAACAAGGAGGCCTAGCCACAGGACACTGCAGCCAACAGATCCCACACCTTCATCCTTTCATCCAGAATCTGTTTCTCAAGTGCCTGCTGTATTCCACGCACTCTGCCTGGTGTTGGGGACACAAAGGGGAGCAAAGCTGGCCTGGCCTGGGCCTCAGGGTCACTCAGAGTCTAACGAAAACACATTTCCTCTGGGCTCCACCCTTTAGTCCTTATGTGACTTTGACCGGGTTGCTTAACTTCAGTGAGCTTCAGTTTCCACATCTGTGAGATGGAGAAAATAATACCTGTAGGGAGAGAACATAACATGACCTACATAAAGTGTCTATCACAACAGCTTCTCCTCTATGTTCTATTACCTAGGATTTCACATAAAGTAACACATTCTAAAGAATGAAGCTTTTCAAACCTGAAATGGAACATCTTAACTTCGCCTGAATTTGCTACTCCTTATTCCAGGACAAGACAAAAACAGGACCATAACTTATGAGTGGAGACAATGAATATGTTATCAATAGAAATGTACATTTCAAGATAATGCAAATCCTGCTTCCCAGGGTCCAGCATATGCCTCCCTCTCTCACCCCGTGGGCCAAGGAAGGGCTGGCGCCATCTTGGACCATAAATCATTGCAGAACAGTTCCTGGAGGGCACAAACCCCCAGGGCAGAACCTTCCACACAGCTAAAGAATTTCCTGCCAAAACAGATAAGAATTTCCTGTTTTGCTTTTCATTATTACTTTAAATAATCCCATTCAGAGTCTTGAAGGAGGATGGTGAGCAGCAGGGGCTGGAAGGAATGTCAACATCTTTTCTAGATTAACTCAGGATGATAGTAGTGGCTTTGGAAATGGCTAGTTGAGATCTGGTCAGAATACACAAAATGACTGTTGGAAACTGAGTCCTCTCCAGAAGGAACAGTTGATGCCAGCCTAGTTATTCTACAGACCCTAAGCCTCAGGGGAGGGGGATTCCCATACCCGTCCAGTGGAGACAGGTCCTTCAGTCACCCACAGCAGGGACTTGGAGTCAGAGCTGACTCCTCCTTTTGGCTCTTCTCCCTGTCTCTCAGAAGCCATCAGCCTCAGCATGGAGAATAGGAGACCCAAAAATGACCCTTTAGAGAGATGAACAGCTGATGAGCCCGGTCTCCTTTGTTTGGCACTGTACTTTACCCATGCCTTTGACCATGATTCTAGCCCAGAGTGTCCTCTTGCCATGGCCTTAGAGTTCAGGAGGGAGCACCACAGGCTCTCCATCTACTAGAGGGGCAGAGATACCCTTTCCTTTCCCAAGAAGTCTCCCTTAGAAAAACGCATGCCAAGGCAGTTCCAGGCAACTCCCAAACAAATCACCCCTGCTCCTTTGGGATGCTAAGACCACTGTGTGTATCTTTGCATGCTCAGAAAACACAGGCTGGACAACTCAAAGATCCTCTCATAGTCTTGTTCCTGAACTAAACTGAGGGTCAGGCTGCTTATTCTAATAAGCTGCTTATTCATTATTTTTCTAATACTAACGAGATACACATGAACTGGGAGAAAAGGGAGTTTTTATTTCTGTAACTGGTTGTAGGAAGAAGGCCCAGAAATTCTCCCCAGACTAACTCAAAATTATAAAGTTTTCCAGAGCTTATATACCTTCTAAGTTATATGTCTAGGTGTAAGTGCGCATTCATCTAAAGACATAAGTGATTAAATTCTTTTAATATGTAACTGAGGTCTGAGTCTCGAAGACCTTTCTCTGGAGCCTCAGTAAATATACTTAATCTAAATAGGTCCAGGACTTGTCTCCTGCTAAATCATGGAGGTTTGGGGAGTTCCTTCAGACCCCCATAAATTTGTTTGTGGAGGCCTGGGGAGTTTCTTCAGACCCCCCAAAAAACTTGTCTAATTCTAAGAGGGCTCTGTTAAGAACTCCTTCATTATCTTGTCATCCTTCAAGGCCCAGGAAAGGCCTAGGCAAAATTCTTGGTGGGCTTTTGTTACATTCTAGCCTTTGTAATAGGGCACTGGCGCTTTCAGATTTTAATATTTAACTTAACCACTCAGTCAGTGCTGAAACAGTTGTTATGGAGGCCTGCCTTAGTGAGACCTGGCCTACCACAGTCTCCCTAGTGGTTTTGGGGACGCTGGCTTGAATTTCATATCCAGAAGGACTGCTTCAACCCAACTACACACTCCAGCAATCCATTCTCCTCTTCTCCACCCTCCCATGAAGAGAGGAGGGAATGAAGAAACTCAATGGTCACCTTTAGAACTCAGCACTCCTCCCCACACCCCTCATCTCAAACCAGCTCCCCATCCTGACTCCCTGCTTTCTGCAGATAGCACCCCTTTTTTCCAGGCATGCGGACTCAAATCTTCCAGCTTGTCTTCATTCTTCCCTCCTCCTCTTTAGATACCATCAACTGGTCACCAAATTCAGGCCACATGTCAAAGGCACCAAGACCTGTGCTAGGTTCTTTCCCATGTAGTTACTCTTGCATTTGTTCTATTTCCCCTGCTGCACCTGCCCTAAAATAAAGCATCAGGCCTTGAAGCCTTGTCACCTCTCCCCAAAGGATAGCAGTGGCCTCCTGGTCTGCATACTCCTTTGTACTCTCCTCACCTCATCTCTACAGCTGCTGGTGCCATCCCACACACTGCTTGATAAGCTCACAAACCAGCTCAGAAATTTCAGGGCCTGGTCAGGTGCGGTGGCTCAGGCTTGTAATCCCAATGCTTTTGGAGGCTGAGGCAGGCGGACAACTTGAGCTCAGAAATTTGAGTCAAGCCTGGGCGACATTGTGAAACCCCGTCTCTACTAAAAGTACAAAAATTAGCCGGGCATGGTGGTGCACACCTGTAGTTCCAGCTACTTGGGAGGCTGAGGCAGGAGAATCACTTGAACCTGGCGGGCAGAGGTTACAGTGAGCCGAGATCAGTTACTGGACTCCAGCCTGGATGACAGAGGGAGACTCCGTCTCAAAAAAAAAAAAAAAAAAAAAAATTCAGGGCCTAGCAAATGCAAATAAGCTAAACACCCCTTCAAGGCCTTTGATTGCCTTTAAGGCCCTGCATGACCTGGTGTCAGATGTCTCGCTTCTTATTCTCCCCTAGTGCACTTGTACTTCAGCGCATCTAGGCACTAGGCAGTTCCCCATTAAGTTTGCATTCTTGACGTTTGTGGCACTTCTGCTTCTGCTCCTGCCACCCCTTCTAGATTCAGTGTTTTCTGATCTCCACCTCTCAGAGTGGAGCCTTTATGAAGTCTTTCCATGAAGTTCACTGGGGCAAGTGTCTCCCACCACCCCCACCCCCACCCTCACTGATCCACATAGCTCTTTGCACCATATGGGAGGCAGGATTGTTGTCAATTATTTCTAGGGTCTTCTGGGTGCATGGTAGATGACCTCGTGACTTGCTTTGGTCAACAAAATATATGTGGAAGTGACACATGTCATTTCTGGCCAAAAGCTTTAAAGGCCAGTATACACTTTATTATATTTTCTTCCGCATGAAATACATGATGGAAGCTGAGCTTCCATCAGCCTGGGTCCTGCCAACCCACAGGATCATAGGATGTGAATGAAAAAGAGGCCTTTGCCCTGTTGGCTGGAACTGCCATCTTCCAGTAATTTGCCAAAATAATGAACACAAAGGGAAAGAAGAGAGGCACCCGACACATGTTCTCTAGGTCTTTTAGAAAACAGAGCTGTTGGCTGGGTGTGGTAGCTCATGCCTGCAATTCCAGCACTTTGGGAGGCCTAGGTGGGCGAATCACCTGAGGTGGAGAGTTTGAGGCTAGCCTGACCAACATGGAGAAACCCCGTCTCTACTAAAAATACAAAATTAGCTGGGCGTGGTGGCGCATGCCTGCATGCCTGTAATCCCAGCTACTCGGGAGGCTGAGGCAGGAAAATCACTTGAACCCGGTAGATGGAGGTTGCGGTGAGCCAAGATCACACCATTGCACTCCAGCCTGGGCAACAAGAGTGAAACTCCATCTCAGAAAAAGAGAAAACAGAGTTGTTCCTTTGGCCACATACAAGCAAATCTATAAGAAAGGCCATATTATAGACATCAAGGAAATGGGTACTGTTCAGAAAGGAAGGCCCTACAAGTGTTACCATGGCAATACTGGAAGAACCTACAATGCCACCCAGCGTGTTGTTGGCATTATTATAAATAAACAAGTTAAGGCCAAGATTCTTGCCAAGAGAACCAATGTGCATATTGAGCACATTAAGCACTCTGAGAGCCAAGATAGCTTCTTGAAGCATGTGAAGAAAAATGGTCAGAAAAACAAGGAAGCCAAAGAGAAAGTTACCTGGATTCAGCTGAAGTGCCAGCCTGCTCCACTAGAGAAGCACACTTTGTGAGAACCAATGAGAAGGAGCCTGAGCTGCTAGAACCTCTTTCTTATGGATTCATGGCATAATAGGTGCAAAAAATTAAACCCCTCTGGACTGTAAAAATGTTTCTCTTCATTGAGTAGAAGCGTTGGTGTCCCCTCCCCCAAAGAAATGTTTAAAGCAAATTTTTATCGTGTCCTAATTCATTGTGTAATGTCTTTTTTTTTTTTTTTTTTTTTTTTTTTGAGTCAAGGTCTTGCTCTGTGACTCTGGCTGGGGTACAGTGGTGTGATCACGGCTTACTGCAGCCTCGACCTCCCATGTTCAAGTGATCCTCCTACTCAGCCTCCCTAGTTACTGGGACTGCAGGTGTGCACCATCATGCCTGGCTAAATTTTTATTTTTCTGTAGAGATGGGATCTCTCCACGTTGCCCAGGCTGAACTCCTGAGCTCAAGTGATCTGCCAGCTTTGGCCTCCCAAAGTGTTGGCATTACAGGCATGAGCCATCGCATCTGGCCTTATAATGTCTTTACTATTCAGATTTAATGCTTTTCTTGCTGAAAGATGTAAGGTGGCTTATTATGCAACAAATTCCTCAATTGGTTAGAAAATGGCCAGATATTATTTATGAAATATTTCTACTGATTTGAAGATAATCCTTCTAAATCATAAATAATTTACAAAAATAAAAAAAAAGATTTGCTTCTTAAGCCACTGAGATTTGGGGGTTCTTTGTTATCACAGCAAAATCTAGCCTATCCTGACTATTGAAACATGAGACCAAAGAGACCATCTAGTCCCATCCCCTGTTTTACAGATGGGAAAACTGAGGCTTAAAGGAGGTGAAATGAAGTCCCCAAGGTCACATGGTAAGTAGCTGACCTAATTCTAGAATCAGGTTCTCCTAATATTCAGGCCCACACCTCTTTTATGACACCATTGTAACTGCCCAATGGGTTCACCTTGCCCGCTGCCTAGATAGAGCTGATGTATCAAGAGAGGGGAATTACAATGGCAAAAGAGTAATTCATGCAGAGCCAGCTGGGCAGGAGACTGGATTTTTATTATTACTCAAATCAGTCTCCCTGAGTATTCGGGGATCAGAATTTTTAAAGATTATTTGGCTGGTATGGGCTCGGAAAGTGTGGAGTGCTGATTGGTCAGGCTTACGATAACATCATAGGGGGTCGAAGTGAGTTCTTCTTGCTGATTTCTGAATGGGATCACAGAGCTGGTTGAGCCAGATTACTGGTCTGGGTGGTGTCAGCTGATCCATCAAGTGCAGGATCTGCAAAATATCTCAAGCACTGATCTTAGGTTGTGATGTTTACCCCCAGAAGCAAGTTGGAGAGGTTCAGACTCCTGGAGCCAGAGGCTGCATGACCCCTAAATTGTAATTTCTAATCTTGTAGCTAATTTGTTAGTCCAGCAAAGACAAGAAGGGGGCCATTCTTGGGCCCGAGACAAGAAGGGGGTCTTTTTGGGAAAGGGCTGTTATCAATTTTGTTTCAGAGTCAAACTAATAACTGAATTCCTTCCCAAAGTTAGTTCGGCCTACATCCAGGAATGAACAAGGACAGCTTAAGGATGAGAAGCAAGATAGAGTCAGTTAGTTCTGATTTCTTTCACTGTCTTGATTTCCTCAGTTATAATTTTGCAAAGGGAGTTTCACCATTCTGTAGGATTGTTGAGGCAAGAACCTAACTACAAGAGCCCCGGATCCTGGCCCTGCTTACCACTGCCGAGCTATGTGATCCTGAGTAAGTCACTCCTGCTCTCAGGTCTCAGTTTCCTCACTTCTATAAAACGAGAATGTGGGACAAAAATCTCTTCTAGGCTGTCTTGCTATGTACCCTTCTCTATGCATGATCTTCCCCCAGTACTCATTATGGTACCTTGCATACCAGGCACTCATGGTGTAGAGATGATCAACTAGCAGTCTGATAGGCACACTGTAACCACCTGGTGGGTTCTTCCTTCCTGCTGCACACAATAGACCATGGCATTGCAGTAGAGAAAGAGCTTAATTGATGCAAGGCCAGCCACGCTATGCAGAAGATGGAGTTATTATTCAAATCAATCTCATCGAAGGCTCCTAGGTTAGGGGTTTTTCAAAGACAGTTTGGGGGAAGGGCTGGGGGTGGTTAGGGAATGGTGTTTGCTGCTGATCGGTTGGGGTGCAATCATAGGGGTGTGGAAAATTGTCCTTCTGTGTGCTGATTCACTTCTACATGATGCCACAGGAGCCATTGATCAGTGGGTCCAAGTGGAGCTATGGATGTGAGACATGCAAAACACCTGAAAACGTATCTTGAAAGGCCAATCTTAGGTTCCACAAAGGAGATGTCATCTGTAGGAGTAATTTGGAAAGTGGCATATCTTGTAACTTGTTAAATAATGGCTGGCAATTGTTTATGTCTATACCTTAGCAAAATTCAGGCTCCTCTCTTCCTCTTAGCCTAGTGGTCTCTCATTAGCTTTACTAAGGCAGTTGAGGTTTGTGGAAGGGCTATTATCATTAAAACTACAACCTACATGTCTCCCAAAGCTAGCTTGGCAGCTGGAAGGCTAAAGGCAAGAAGAGGATTGGCTAGATCAGATCTCCCCCACAATGCCAGAATTTTCTGTTATAATTTTTGCAAAGGAGGTTTCAATATGCCATCTTTCTCATGGGATATTATACTGCCTTCTACAGGGGAGGCAAAGGCCAGATTGAGTACAGTGACCCACTCTTGAACCAACTTTCATACCTCCAAGTTCCTCCTTCTGTTGCTCTCAGGCATCTGAGTTCATACTTGACTCATCTATCCAGGCCCTGGCTTTAGCTGTTATCCATGCAATTAGCATTCAGAGTCCTTAACTGGCTCCACAAGTACCTTGCCTTTGGCAATACAGTGTACCCTTACAATGAGAGGTGTGAGCTTGTTTGAGAGTGTGTTAGCTTTTTGGTTTTTATCTGGCCCCAATTCTTGAGTATTCTGAGAGCTGTCAGCCTTTCGACCTGAGTCACTGGGTTTCTGTCTATGACATGCTCCAATTCCTTTTTTTGTCTTTTGATCTCCTTTCCTTATACTGCTTCTGCATGAATAGACCAATTCTTTGGAAGTTAACAAATACATCAAAGTTTTAAAATGTGACAGGCCATCTCTCACTCCTGGACATGGTGCCAAAAGTTGAAGCTGCCTCTCAGCCATTAGCCAAATACCTGGCTTCCTTAAAGGGATGATCAACCCCACAGCAGGAAGGATCTCAGAAGGTGGGCACCCTCTTCCTTTTATTGGTGGCAGAGAGGTCAGGGGTCTGTGGCATTTATAATAGGTGCTGTTATGGACTAAATGTGTCTCCCAAAAAATCTTCTGTTGAAATGCTAATCCCCAATATGGTAGTATTTGGAGGTAGGGCCTTTGGGAGGTAATTAGGTCATGAGGGCAGAGCCCTCATGAACGAGATTAATGCCCTTATAAAAGGGGACCCAGAGAGATCTCTAGCCCCACTTTTTGCCATATGAGGACTCAGCTTGTTATTAGTACAGATGAGAAAACTGAGGCCCTGAGATGAGAAGTTAATTTCATAAAGTCTCAGCTTCAGAGCCAGGGTTAAAGCCCAGATATCCTGCAATACTCTTTTAGTTGCACCATTAAAAGAAAATAAACAATACAAAACACTCAGTAAGTAAATAAGGTGCTGGTGATATGGACAGGAGACAGGGAAATACTGAGTAGAAGAGCGTCAAAATCCTCAGCCTCAAGCCTGGATACCCATGGCCCTAAATGGGAACAGGCATTCCTGGTTTTGCACCCAAAAACTTGCCTTTTCACCTGCCAAGCCCCCTATCCTGTACTCATATAAACCCCAGACCCCAGGCTCCAGAAGCAGACGAGCAGACAAGCAGATGAACAGAAGAGCAGAAGAGCAGCAGAGAAGGACAGAAGAGAAGGAACGTCAGGAGGAGTTCCACTAAGGATGGTCAGAGTATCAGCCGCTGGATGGCCAAACTCCAGGGGAAGATCATCTTCCCACTCCATCCCCTTTTCAGCTCTGCATCCATCCTGCTGAGATCCACCTCCACCACCCACCAAAACCCCTGCGTTCACTATCCTTCAAGTCCGTGTGTAACCCGATTCTTCCAGGATGCTGGACAAGAGCTTGGGATACAGAAAGCTGTCACACTGGCCCTCTGCCCTTGCAAAAAAAACCAGAGGGTCCAGTGAGCTTGTTAACACTTAAGCAATCCACAGATGGGAAGGCTAAAAGAGCACACTGTAACACATGCCCACTTGGGCTCTAGGAGTCACAGGCTCCCACCCCTGGACACTGCCATGGGGCCAGAGCCTAGCACCCTGGCTCCTGCACCTGTCCATCTGTGTGCTCCCCTTCCCATAAGGGGTTTGAGCAGAGGTGGTGACAGATGAGCCAAACCCCTGTCACATATCCTGCAAGGGAGGTCAGATAACTCTCCTATTTAACTGGTTTACACACATCTCAGACAAGAAGCTAAGGATATATTAGCAGGGTTACAAGAAAGAGTCATACAACTTGCAAGTTAAGCAAACTGGGCATTGAGGAATTTCTTGTAGTTCTCTAAGTAGGGTAGTTATTTGTGCTATGATTACAACTCTGTGAAATCAGCTGCCCTTCTGGATAGATGCTTCTTACAGGAGAAAGGAGTCCTGGAGGCTGCCAGTCATCCAGCTGGTAGTGCCTACACTAGCAGCTGCTGGATTCATTAGCTTAGCTTCTGACCTGCCTCAAGATGTTGAAAAAAATACTGATGGTAAAGAGAAAAGAGCATGAGCTCTGGAATCAAGTTGACCCAGTTCTAATTCTAATCCCAGAAACCTTCTTCAGCCTGTGCTTTCTCCTCTGTAAACTGGAAAGATGCAGCAGCTGCTGCTGTTACTTCTATTTGGGGGCTGCTGGAAAGATTGAATGGCCTGACCCATGCTAGTAAGTACCTAACACACAGTCTGGCATCAGTAAACTTTGCTTCACTCTTCTTGCTTGCTTTTGAAAATGGAGTCACTCAACTTAGGCACCACTTTTAGCCAGGGCTCTTAGTGAGTGTTACAGTGCTTCTAACCTGAGCTGTCTCTGCTTCTTAGTGAATGCCTCTGGAGCCACTGTCTAGGCTCAACTGTGACTTGCCGTGAAGCATTCTACAAGTTCCCTAGGTGGTCTCCACAGCAATACTGTGACCTGGGGTTAGAAAGAAAACCAAGTTGGCGTGTCAAAGATCTTTGTCTCTCTTGCCATCTGGGGCCAGTCTCGGAGGGAGAGAACCCTGGGAGCAACTATTTGGAAGGAGAGCTCCTCAGTTGGGGGATAAATTTAGTGCAAGGCTTGGATACGAGAGGTCTCTCTCTCTCCCTGTGATATTTTTAATTCTAACATCAAGTAAAAATAGAATTTCCTGTTGATCTGATAAGAAATTCCTGTTTTCCAGGGAGCAGGGCAGCCTACACCCAGGGGGCATGGGCAGTGGGGGTTACCAACTATTTCCGAGATGGATAGTTAAAGAAAGGAGGGGTTGGATGGGCCTCGGTTCATATTTATTTATTTTTAAAGTGTGAAGCCAGCTCATACCAAGAAGAATCACAGGGCATGATTAATAATTTCCTACATACATCGAAGGCCTCAGCTGGCTTTGGAAAAGTTCTCTCTGCTGCCTCCCTGGAGCCTGGATATTTTTAGTAGCCAGATGCAGTTTGGTTCAGATTTCTCAAGCCTGAGATCTTGGATCACACACATTGTGCATGGTGTTTAACGGAAGCACCTTGCACCGGCATGCAGGTAGCAGGCTCCAAACTGCACCCCAAATCCCTAGTCATTCCAAGTTGCGCTCAGCTTGAGGGTAGCCCCAGAGCCATTGGCTCGGGAGTCCCAATCTGTGCTTGCTTCTGCATGAGCAGCTCAAAGAGTACATTTTTGGTGGACAGTTTGGGGGCCTCCCAGAATCTATTCCCCCTTTCTCCTATTAATAGCTCCCTGATTTTTATTTGGAGAATCACCTCTTCCCCTGTGGTGCAACCTGGTGGAATTGTCAGTCAAGGACTTTGTCCTCCCCTAGGCAAGCAGTCCATCAATCAGACCCTTTCCTGGGATTTTGAACATTGAGTGCAGCAAAGCAAAGACAGAAAAATGGCCACCTCTCATTCACCCCAACAGTCAGCCCCTGCTCCCCGAAGCCCCAGACCTTGTCTGGTTCCTGCCCTTTGGGGCCTGATTATTCATTTCTCCTTCAATTCTATGGGTGACACAGTAGCCTTCTGATAGGTCTCCATTTTTTTAATACTTGCAAGTAATGCACTGTGACTAACACAAAGTCTACTGATGGTGAGTCACAATTGTCACCCTGCATGTCTCCTAACAGGGGAGTAATAGTCATAGCACAAATGTGTGATCCTTGACTGTTTAAGATTCACTCCCACATATGACAACTCCTTCAGCCTTTTAACAACTCAGTGAGAAAGGCAAGCAGCAATCACAGCACCTCTTGAAAAATGAGGAAGCTGGGGTTCAGAGCTACTCAGCTGCTACACAGCCTGGGAGTGGCAGAGCCATCTCTTAAACATCCGTCTGTCTTCTGACTCCAATCAGGGATGTTTTCCACCAGACCACACTGCCTCTCACAGGCCACATGAGCTGAATTAGAGCTACTTTCCCAGAAGGAAGGTAATCCAATCTTTATCCTCTTGCCTATGGATGTCTATGGCTCACCAGGAACAAAAATTGGGACTCTAACTTTTTAAGTGTTATGTGAGAAAGTTTGGTTGGCCCTGGCATCCAAGCAAAGGATGCATAAAGACATTTAAAGCCACTTAAAGTCATCTTTAAGAGGTCATCAGGACCTTCAGCTGGATACTGGCAGCCTCCAGGAGTTCTTTCCCCTGGAAGAAGCATCTGTCTGTTTAGGAGGGCAGTTGCTTTTACAGGGTGTAATCATAGCAAAAATAACCATCCCACTCAGAGAGCCATAAGAAATTCCTCCATGATGTACACACATGTTCATACTGACTATTGGCAATAGCCATAATGTGAAAACAGTTCAAATATCCACCAACAAATAAACAAAAAGTGGTACATCCACACAATGGAACATTATTCAGCCATAAAAAGTAATGAAGTAATGATGCCTGCTACAAGGTGGATGGACCTCAAAAACATCATACTAAGTGAAAGAAGCCAGATACAAAAGGTCACATATCATATGATTCCCTTTGTATGCAATATCCAGAATAGATAAGTCCATACAGACAGAAGACAAATTGGATGGTGTCTCGGGGGCTGGAGGGAGATGGGATGGTGGGGAGGGGACTGCTTAGTGAGTAGAGGTTTTACTGACTGATGACAATGTTTTGAACTAGATAGAGGTGGTAGTCGAACAACATTATGAATGTATTAAAGGCCACTGAATTGTGAATGTCATCTCAAATTTTATAAGAAACTGCCATTGATAAGTAATAAAAGCAATTTGAACAAAACAAAACAAAGTTGTCATCAGGACGTAGCACTTCATTTTTTTTTCCGATTAGTCTTCTTGACCCCTCCCCTTCTTCATTTAAACACTCACAATCGTCTATCACTACAGGGCTCCCTTTGTGTCATTTTTAATCACAATGTTTGTTCTCTCAACAATGCCCAATGTCACCCCAGTGACTGTAGATGAAGGCTCAGTTTGATGTTCAAATTCTTCCAACCTCCACATGGAAACTGCCAGGCCTGGCCTCTGCTGTGGCCAGGCTCCTCTCTCACTGTCACTGGAGCAGATAGGCTCTTCCTGACCCCAGCCTTCAGAGAAGAGATGATCTTCATGAACTCTTGTCCTCTGTGATGGGGGATGATGATGATGATGACGATGTTACCAAACCCCTGCTCCTACTACAAGTAACATCTATTTGTCAAGAACCTTATTTGTCCCAGCTCTATTAGGTGTTTTATATTGAGGTAAGGATGTTTCCCATCAGAATTTAGATGGCTTTCCTGAGCTCTCTGCTTAGAGAGTGGGCTCTGGTGTTAACTCTGCTCCGGTGACTATTTCTTCCACTTTTCCTTTGCATTAAATAGCATGCAGCCTTCTCTCACTCTGTGTTTCTACCAGTGATAACCTCTGCTCCCTTTTGTTTTACAATTTCCCCTTCGCCTCTCCCCTCATTGACATGTAGGATTTGCATGGTTTTAGTATCTGTGTGACCTGCTGAGGCTGCACAATGCCATCGGAGCCAAGATATCAGGACAATCATCATCCATCAGGAAGTCATCCATGGGGTGGTTCTGTGTGCTATAACAGGCCAAGAGGTCCTAAGAAGAAGATAAAATGAGATCTCCTAAGAACAAACATCTCTGACTTAGGGGTAAAGGTCCCACGGGCAGGCTGGCTTTCTCTCTCTGCAGCTGGATGGAGGATCAGCTTAATTAGAATAACGAAAGTGGCTGAATGTAATGTAAAGAGTTGTCAAGTGTTGCTGTGGGTGAAGGGGGTTATTTGTTTGGGGTTCTGGCTAGTTGAATAATTATTTGTTTTTCCTCCTGATTTCTATGCCTTTGTCAAACATACACCTTTGAGCTTGGCTGTAAACTACCCAGTTCAAGGTCAACAGGCATCATGGAATCAACAAAAACTCAGTTTCTGAGAGTCAAATTGCAGGGGCTATGGCTACCAAAAAAGAATGAATGTTCTGGTAACACTTTACATTTTAAAAAATATTTATAATGATCATAGCTAGAGAGAGCTATAACTGTCTCCATGTTTGAAATGGGAAAACTGAGGCTCAGAAGGGTTATCCAAATTGCCCATACCTTATGTGGAGTTTAGACCACAAAGTCCCTATTTCTCCTTCCACTCCATCCTCAATTCCCTCTCTCCTCTCCTTCCTTATCCATTCCTTGGGTTCTTCTCTGTAAGAATTAGCTGGCCTTAGACTAGCTCCCTGACATTTGGTATCCCTTTTCTGAACTCCTATGGTGCATACCAGCTTTGTTACTCACTTGAACATTAATTTCATAATCTTCTAATATATTCTAATTAACCTGATCTAATCTTCTAACATATCACTACTTGTTTCAGGCATGCATATCTTGTATCCTTAATGAAAGTCCATATTCCTTGAGGGAGGACAACTGCTCTGCTCCCTTTTCCCTGGCCCAGCCTAGCAACATGCTGATCAAGCAGGAAGTAAGAGGATCACCACCTTTCCTGAGATCTTGAAATTGAGATGGTCCTTAAAGATTTTTCTCACCCAGGTTCAGACCCCCTACAGAAATCCCTCAGTGATCATATGAGCAAGTGAACAAGGAGATATATTTTTCCAGCTGACTTCATTACCTCTCGTTCTTTCTGCCCTTAAGCAGCAGCCTGCAGTTTCTTATAGGAGAGAAGGGAGTTAATCCTATTCCTTCCAGGGTTTTGGCTCTCGCAGTTCCAGAGTTGACAGTCAATGCTACTGTAACTCCATCAGGGGACTTACTGGCTCTACTCTCAAAAGTAATACAGGTTCACAATCTCTTACTGGGCATTCACTCTTGGAATCAGGAGTGTTTTGGCATTCAGAGTTCTTCAGATTTCAGAAAGGCCATATGGTACACATACAGTATGTCATGTAACAACCCTAGTAGGGTCCAGAGTGGCACCTTATTAGTATTTCTGCAGTGAAGCATATGCATATTTATACTAAGTGGGATAAATAAAACCTAGATATAGTTGTATGACACTTCGGGACAGGTTTTACTTCCAACTGCACAATTTTCAGAGCTTTTTTTGACTTCAGCATTATAGGTAATGGACTATGGGCCTATAATAGCTAATAGTTATTGAGTGTTTATTTTGTGTCAGACATTCTCATAAATGCCCACTGTGAGTTACCTTATATAATTCACTAACAGCTCTCTAACGAAGGTTCTCATTTTACCTATATTTCGCAGATAAGGAACTGAGGCTTAAGGAGGCTAATAAGTTGCTCAAGGTCACACAGAGGGTGAGCAATAGAGCAAGATTCTATGGGCATTTATAGCATCACCTCCTCTTTCATCTCTACGGTCCCCTCTGGGGGCATATAGCATGGTGGACCTGGGAGAGGCTAGTGACTCCCCACTGACTCCAATGGGACCTCTGAGCTATAGGACTAGGCAGATCCTACCCTTGGACATGGGGAAGCCAAGCCTTGGGTCTTGAAAACAAGAGACAAGAGAAAATCACCATCCTGAATTAATTGATGACTGGTTCAAGGACTAACTTCACCCTTGACCAGGAATGAGACAAGTGTGATGTGGAATCACCTGGCCTCAAAGGTTGATGCATAGTGCATTGGTTAAGAGCAGTAGCACTGACCATGAGGGGTCAAATCTTGTAACTAGCTGGGGATGCTGGGCAAACTTCCTCCTTGCCAGGCTTCATTCCCCTCTTCTGTAAAATGTGATTGCCTGATGCTTCTTCACAAGACTATTTGAAAATTAAATAAAACAATTCACATAAACACAGTGCCTGATGGAGTGAGCCCTCGATATTAGCTTTCAATAAAAGCACGTCATGAAAGAAAACAGGATAGTAAACTGAGATAACCAAAGAGGAAAGGAATGGAAAGTCTGATCCTTCAGTGTTCAAGTGCCCAGTCTGGATCCTTTTGCTGTAAAAAGCACCATCTTTTCAGTCTGGTCTAGTCTAGCCTCAGCCAAACTAAACTAATGGCTTTAGGAGCTCCTCTGTGAGGAAAGAGAAGCAGCACCATGGCCGTGAAGGATGTTGGGTGGGACTGCGCGCATTGGCTGGGTGGAAGGTGGGGGTGGGAGAGCGCTGTGTAGCTGGAGCATGGTGGGCTAGGCGAGCCTCTGCAAATAACTTGGACTTGGTCTGCAGACTCAACAGCTCACATCCACATAGAGAGGTTGCTACTCTTGTTAGCTCATTCTCACCAAACTCTCTGGGAAATGACCCCATGCTTTTCCTCCCATGCCCCTGAGAGAGTCTGAAGTCATGGACAGTCCTTACAGATGCATGGTCTGCCTTTCCACCGCTAAACACAGGACATCAGAAAATCCCACCTGGGGCAACCAAGATTGCCCGAGAGGATGCTCACAGGACCACACCTCTTCACTGGGGTCTTCCAGGGCCATCTCTGGAGGCACCTCGGGCCTGGGTTCAAATTCTACACAATGCTCAAGTAGACACGGTGGCCATAAAGTCTTCTTCTGCGCGATAATCTCATGGGCAGGCACAAGCCCCTGCTGAAGGGTAACAGAGAACAAAAGTTCTGGGAAGTTCTGTGGGCGTTTGACCAATTCACCTTGTGTCCCCAGGGGAGACACAATAGGCAAACAATAAGTGCTTAATAAATGTTTGTGGAGTGAATTAATGATAAATGTTTGTTGCATGAATAAATAAAAAGGACACACACTTTTTGGCCATTGCGACGCACAGCTCAGCTTCCCCTGAAGGGATGCCCAGCTGTGTCCTACTCCGATTCTGGCTTCAGGCTCCTCAGGGCCAGCAGTGGAGTTCTTCTGAGTTCTACCCCCCACCCCTGTGGAAAGAAAGAAAAGGAAGCCAAACCCAGTGGATTCTGTCCCGACTGGCTGGTTCCTGTCAGTCTCAGCCTGTCAGCCTCCTTTGTAAAGCTCACAGCGTCTGCCCTTGTTCCAGGGACAGGCCTGCCATTAGGAGCTTTCCAGATCCAATCCTGGCTGCTCTGAGAGCAAAAATTAAATCAGCAGACAGTGATGTCTGCTTTCTGTTCTTTTCACACCTGTGTGCCAACAGCAGGATTACTGGCACAGCTCTAGGCTGTGCCCAGACTGGTAAGCACCCTGCAAAAACATCCCGAAGGCCTGGGGCGGGAGGAGGTCAGTCAAGTGCAGGCCAGCTTCTAAGGCCCACACAGCAGCTCACTGACATTTCTTTGGGGGCCACTGGGCTGTAGGTGGGGCTGGAATGAAAAGAAGCACACATACAGAGTCAGCCACAGGTCATCCACATCAGCCAGGAGTATCGTTTACTTGATGAGTATTTGTTGGGTGATCCCACGTGGCCGGGACTGTGGTGGCGTCTCTGTCTCTCAGATCCTTCCTTCTGTAGCCCCGGGCTTAGCAGTTTCCCAGGTTGAGGAAGGCATAGATGTGCCACAAGAGACATTTTGGGCATACTTGCAGGAGTGGGGTGACCCCCCCAGGTTAGAAGCCAGTGCTTGAGAGGCTCTGCCACCACGTCCCCCTCTTCTTTGCACAGCTCAGTGATTCCCTCTGGAAGGTGTCCCGGGTACAGGGCAACAGTCTGGGAAGAGCAGAAAAGCCTCTAGGCCCCCAAGGAAGATCAGTGTGTCACTGTCCTCTCCGAATCCACTAGGGTCTCCCATAAATATACAGCCTGGAACTCCTGCCCAGCAGATGATGCAGGAAAAGAAAAGAAAAATCACCACAGAGCCCCGTGCCCTGTTCCCATAAACACACAGTGATTAAAAATACCTGGAGCCTTAAAAGTGCACCTTCCCCACCAGAGCCCAGTGCAGGGGGCCACAGCTCAGAGACAGGAGGAGCAGCCTCTCAGAAGAGAAAGCTGAGGCTGAGGTCATCTCCTGCTGGGGCCTGGGAGGCCTCTGCTCCGTGGGGCTTTGGCAAAAAAGAAGCTGGAAGCAGAGAAGTAGAGGCATTGCTGGAGCCTGTAAGGCCCTGGAAGAAAATTACACAGGAGGCCTCTTAATTCTACTCTGAATGAGACTCAACTAAGGCCTGTTGTGTTTTTCCTTGTAGCTGAGACATCTAATAAAATAGAAAGCAGAAAATCTTGTCACCAAGTGGGAAAGTTGTGTTTTCTTCTCCAATGGCTTTCTCAAGACTCTAACAGCCAGCCCCTTCCTTGCTTTCTCGACACCCTAAGGAATGGCCTGGGTTTGCTCAGGGTAGAGCAACCCCCGGAGAGGGGCTGGGGCTCAAACGGAAGTCTCAACCCTAGGTAGCAGGCTGGGGTCAAACTCTACTCCATTGCTAGTGTGTGTTTGTGAGCGTGTGCGTGTGTGTGTGTGTGTGCGTGTGTGAAAGAGAGAGAGGGAATGAGTGTGTACAATAGGAAGCCATAGAAGTATGTAGAAAAAGGTATAAACCATGGAGAAGCTTGCAGCTCAATGTCACCTGAGCAGGGAGCACACCTGCACCTTTTCAGAATACAAGATGACTTCAGAGTCCTACTTAGGACAGTGTATTGTGCTCCCAGAGGAACCTTTCCCAAAAATGTTGTGATACACATTAAATGATGTTAGTTAAACTATTGCTGCTCCAGTCTTGAGTTGTGTGTGCAGAATCTCATCTGTGCATCCCAGGTTCCCCTTTGAAGGGGTTGCATCCCCTGTGGGTAGAATACGTGGGTCTAGAAAGCTCCACATACCATCACTCTGTGACCTTCTTGGGGAGTTCTTGCTTCCATTTCTGAAGCACTGAGCTCTGTGTGTTTAGAAGTCCTAGTTCTCTAAAGGGGAAGTCCTCCCAGAGATCACAGGGAGTCCCATTGAATTCTAAGCTGCAGCTGCCACCAGGGCACTTTGGGTTTTTTGTGCCAAGGGGCCAGAAATCAAGAAGTGGCTCACTACCCTGGCAGGGGTAAGTGACCCTAATCAGCAGGGAGGAGGTACGGCTGCTGTCAGTCAGGGGCAGGGAGGAGTGCCTTTGGCACCAGGTAATTTACTTGGGTGTCCCTTGGTACCCATTTAGTCAATTTTGACAGTAAATGGAAAATGAAGCAGTCATGGGGAGGAGCTGCTTCCAGAACCTATAAGAAGTGGATTTGAGTGGCACAAAAGATGGACCATTGTAGATTCTGTGATGAGCTGCCCAGATGCTCCTTCAGGACTGAAGGACTTATCCCCCAGCTACTGCAAGTGCTGCCAACTGATAGCCCTCTTGTTGTTGTTTTTAATCTTTTAATCTTATTTCCATAGGTTTTTGGGGACAGGTGGTATTTGGTTACATGAGTAAGTTCTTTAGTAGTAATTTGTGAGGTTTTGGTGCACCCATCACCCAAGCAGTATATATTGAAACCAGTTTGTAGTGTTTTATCCCTCACCGCCTTTCTACCTTTCCCCCCTGAGTCCCCAAAGTCCACTGTGTCATTCTTATGCCTTCACATCCTCATAGCTTAGCTCCCACCACTATGAGTGAAAACATATGATGTTCGGTTTTCTGTTCCTGAGTTACTTCACTTAGAACAATATTCTCCAATCCCATCTAGATTGCTGCACATGCCATTATTTCATTCCTTTTTATCGCTGAGTAGTTTTCCATCACATACATACACATATATGTATGTATACATATATGTATATATGTGTGTGTATATATATGTGTGTGTGTGTGTATATATATATATGTATATATATATACACCGCAGTTTCTTTATCCACTCATTGATTGATGTGATACATATATACCATAGTTTCTTTAACCACTCATCGATTGATGGGAATTTGGGTTAGTTCCACATTTTTGCAATTGTGGAACTATAAACATGCTTGTGCAAATATCTTTTTCATGTAATGACTTCTTTTCCTCTGGGTAGATACCCAGTAGTGGGAGTGCTGGATCAAATGGTAGTTCTACTTTTAGTTCTTTAAGGAATCTCCACTGTTTTCTATAGTGTTTGTATAGTTTACATTCCCACCAGCAGTGTAGAAGTGTTCCCTTTTCACCACATCCACGCCAAAATCTATTATTTTTTTATTTTTTGATTATGGCCATTCTTGCAGGAGCGAGATGGTATCACATTGTGGTTTTGATTTGCATTTCCCTGATCATTAGTGATGTTGAGTATTTTTTCTTATGCTTGTTGACCATTTGCATATCTTCTTTTGAGAATTGTCCATTCATGTCCTTAGCCCAATTTTGATTGGATTTTTTGTTTGTTTTCTTGCTAATTTGTTGAGTTCATTGTAGATTCTGGATATTAGTCCTTTGTCAGATGTATAGATTGTGGAGATTTTCTCCCACTCTGTGGGTTGTCTGTTTACTCTGCTGACTGTTCCTTTTGCCATGCAAAAGCTCTTTAGTTTAATTAAATTCTGCCTATTTATCTTTGTTTTTATTGCATTTGCTTTTGGACTCTTCGTCATGAAATCCTTGCCTAAGCCAATGTCTAGAAGGGTTTTTCCAATGTTATCTTCTAGAATTTATAAAACTATAAAGTTTCAGGTCTTAGATTTAAGCCTCATTCCATCTTGAGTTGATTTTTGTATAAAGTGAGAGATGAGGATCTAGTTTCATTCTCCTACATGTGGCTAGCCAATTATTCCAGCACCATTTGTTGAATAGGGTGCCCTTTCCCCACTTTAAGTTTTTTGTTTGCTTTGTTGAAGATCAGTTGGCTGTAAGTGTTTGGGTTTGTTTCTGTGTTCTCAATTCTGTTCCATTGGGCTATGTGCCTATTTTCATACCAGTACCTTACTGTTTTGGTGACTGTAGCCTTATAGTATACTTTGAAATCAGGTAATGTGATGCCTCCAGATGTGTTCTTTTTGCTTAGTCTTGCTGTGGCTATGCACACTCTTTTTTGGTTTCATATGAATTTTAGGATTGTTCTTTCTAGTTCTGTGAAGAACGATGGTGGCATTTTGTTGGGAATTGCATTGAATTT
Organism: Homo sapiens; assembly: GCF_000001405.40. NCBI lineage: Eukaryota > Metazoa > Chordata > Mammalia > Primates > Hominidae > Homo > Homo sapiens. The sequence continues at coordinate 31,307,125 of NC_000002.12, forward strand.
GTAGATTGCTTTTGGCAGTATGGTCATTTTCACAATATTGATTCTACCCATTCATGAGCATTGGATGCGTTTCCATTTGTTTGTGTCATCTATGATTTCTTTCAGCAGTGTTTTGTAGTTTTTCTTGTAGAGGTCTTTCATATCCTTGGTTAGGTATATTCCTATTTTTTTTTTCGCAGCTATTGTAAAAGGGGTTCAGTTCTTGATTTGATCCTCAGCTTGGTTTCTGTTGGTGTATAGAAGAGCTACTGATTCGGGTACATTAATTTTGTATCCTGAAACTTTGCTGAATTCACTTATCAGTTCTAGGAGCTCTTTGGAGGGGTCTTTAGGGTTTTCTAGGTATACATTCATATTATCAGCAAACAGCAACAGTTTGACTTCCTCCTTCCTGATTTGGATGCCTTTTATTTCTTTCTCTTGTCTAACTGCTCTGGCTAGGACTTCCAGTACTATGTTCAATAAAAGTGGTGAGAGTGGGCATCCTTGTCATGTTCCAGTTCTCAGACGGAATGCTTTCAACTTTTACCCATTTAGTATTATGTTGTCTGTTGGTTTGTCATATATGGCTTTTATTACATTAAGGTATGTCCCTTGTATGCCAATTTTGCTGAGAGTTTCAATCTTAAAGCGATGCTGGATTTTGTCAAATGCTTTTTATGTGGCTGTTGAGATAATCATGAGATTTTTGTTTTTAATTCTGTTTATGTGATGTATCACATTTATTGACTTGTGTATGTTAAAGCATCCCTGTATCCCTGGTATGAAACCCACTTGATCATGGTGGATTATCTTTTTGATATGTTGATGGATTCAGTTAGCTAATATTTTGTTAAGGATTTTTGCATCTATGTTCCTCAGGGATATTGGTCTGTAGTTTTCTTTTTTTGTTATGTCCTTTCCTGGTTTTGGTATTAGGGTGATACATGCTTCATAGAATGCTTTAGGGAGGATTCCCTCTTTATCTTGTGGAATACCATCAATAGGATTTGTACCAATTCTTCTTTGAATGTCTGGTAGAATTCAACTGAGAATCAGTCTGGTCCTAGACTTTTTTGTTGGTAATTTTTTTATTACCATTTCAATCTTGCTGCTTTTTATTGTTCTGTTCAGGATATCTAATTCTTACTGATTTAAGGTAGGAAGGTTGTATCGTTCCAGGAATTTATCCATCTCCTCTAGGTTTTCTAGTTTTTGCACGTAAAGGTGTTCATAGTAGCCTAGAATGATCTTTTGTATTTCTGTGGTATCAGTTATAATAGCTCCCCTTTTGAGCTTATTTGGATTTTCTCTCTTCTTTTCTTGGTTAATCTTGCTAATGGTATGTCAATTTTATTTATCTTTCAAAGAATCAGCTTTTTGTTCCATTTATCTTTTGTATTGTTTTTTGTTTGTTTGTTTCAATTTCATTTAGTTTTGCTCTGACCTTGGTTATTTTCTTTCTTCTTTTGGGTTTGGGTTTGGTTTGTTCTTGTTTCTCTAGTTCCTTGAGGTGTGACCTCAGGTTGTCTATTTGTGCTCTTTCAGACTTTTTGAGGTAGGCATTTAGGGCTATGAACTTTTCTCTTAGCACTGCCTTTGCTATACCCCAGAGGTTTTGATAAGTTGTGTCACTATTATCGTTCAGTTTGAAGAATTTTTAAATTTCCATCTTGATTTCATTGTTGACCCAATGATCATTCAGGAGCAGGTTATTTAATTTCCATGTATTTGCATGGTTTTGAATGTTCCTTTAGAGTTGATTTCCAGTTTTATTCCACTGTGGTCTAAGAGAGTACTTGACATAATTTCTATTTTCTTAAACTTATCAAGACTTGTTTTGTGGCCTATCATATGGTCTATCTTGGAGAAAGTTCCATGAGCTGGTGAATAGAATGTGTAATCAGCAGTTGTTCAGTAGAATATTCTATAAATGTCTGTTAGGTCCATTTGTTCGAGGGTATAGTTTAAATCCATCGTGTTTTTGTTGACTTTCTGTCTTGATGACCTGTCTAGTGCTGTCAGTGGAGTATTGCAGTCCCTCACTATTATTATGTTGCTGTCTATCTCATCTCTTAGATCTAGTAGTAATTTCATAAATCTGGGTGCTCCAGTGTTAGGTGCATATATATTTAGGGTTGGGATATTTCCCTGTTGGACAAGGCCTTTTATCATTATATAATGTCCTACTTTGTCTTTTTTAACTACTGTTACTTTAAAGTTTGTTTTGTCTGATGTAAGAATAGCTATTCCTGCTCACTTTTGGTGTCCATTTGCATGGGATGTCTTTTTCCATCCTTTTATCTTAAGTTTATATGAGTCCATATGTGTTAGGTGAGTCTCTTGAAGGCAGCAGAGAGTTGGTTGGGAATTCTTATCCACTCTGCAATTCGTATCTTTTAAGTGGAGCATTTAGGCCATTTACATTCAGTGCTAGAATTGAGATGCGAGGTACTATTCCATTCATCATGCTATTTGTTGCCTGTATACCTTGTCTTTTTAATTGTTCTTTTTTTTGTATTTTTATTTTATAGGTCCTGTGTGATTTATGCTTTAAAGAGGTTCTGTTTTGATGTGTTTCCAGGATTTGTTTCAAGATTTGTAACTCCTTTTAACAGTTCTTGTAGTCCTGGCTTGGTAGTGGTGAATTCTCTCAGCATTTGTTTGTCTGAAAAAGATTGTATCTTTCCTTCATCTATGAAGCTCAGTTTTGCTGGATACACAATTCTTGGCTGCTAATTGTTTCGTTTAACGAGGCTGAAGATAGGGCCCCAATACCTTCTAGCTTGTAGGGTTTCTAGTGAGAAATCTGCTGTTGATCTGACAGGTTTTCCTGTATAGGTTACCTGGTGCTTTTGCCTCACAGCTTCTAAGATTCTTTCCCTTTGTCTTGACTTTAGGTAACGTGATGACCATGTCCCTAGGTGATAATCTTGTTGTAATGAATTTCCCAGGTGTTATATGAGCTTCTTGTATTTGGATGTCTAGGTCTCTAGCAAGGCCAAATAAATTTTTCTCAATTATTTCCCCAAATATGTTTTCCAAACTTTTAGATTTCTCTTCTTCCTCAGGAATCTCAGTTATTCCTAGGTTTGGTTGCTTAACATAATCCCAAACTTCTTAGAGGGTTTGTTCATTTTTTCTTATTCTTTTTTCTTTGTCTGTGTTGGATTGGGTTAATTTGAAAACATTGTCTTCAAGCTCTGAAGTTCTTTCTTCTTGTTTGATTCCATTGCTGAGGCTTTTCAGGACATTTTGCATTTCACTAAGTGCGTCCTTTATTTCCTGAAGTTGTGATTGTTTTTTATTTATGCTAGTTATTTCACTGAAGATTTCTCCCCTTATTTCTTGTATCATTTTTTTTTATTTCCTTAAATTGGACTTCAGCTTTCTCTGGTGCATTTTTGATTAGCTTAAGACTGAACTTCTAAATTCTCTTTCAGGTAAATCAGGGATTTTTTCTTGGTTTGGATCTATTGCTGGTGAGCTAGTGTGATTTTGGCAGGGGTTGGGGGGTGGCTGTTAAAGAACCTTGTTTTGTCATATTACCAGAATTGTTTTTCTGGTTCCTTCTCATTTGGTATGCTATGTCAGAGGGAAGATTTAGGGCTCAAGGCTGCTGTTCAGATTATTTTGTCCCACAGGGTGTTCCCTTGATGTAGTACTCTCCCCCTTTTCCTAGGGATGTGGCTTTCTGGGAGCCGAGCTGTAGCGATTGTTATCTCTCTTCTGGATCTATCCACCCAGCAAGTCTACCAGGCTTCAGGCTGGTACTACAGGTTGTCTGCACTGAGTCCTGTGATGTGAACTGTCTTTCGGTCTCTCAGCTGTGGGTACCAACACCTGCTCCAGTGGAGGTGGCAGGGGGTGAATTGGACTCTGAGAGGGTCCGTAGTTTGGGTTGTTTAATGCACTGTTTTTGTGCTGGTTGGCCTCCTGCCAGGGGGTGGTGCTTTCAAGAGAGCATCAGCTGTGGTAGTATAGGGAGGATCAGGCGGTGGGTTGGGGGTCCTATAACACCCAAGAGTATATGCCTTTTGTCTTCAGCTACCAGGGTGGATAGGGAAGGACCATCAGGTGGGGGTGGGGCTCGACGTGTCTGAGCCTTGGGTGGGTCTTGCTGCAGCTGCTGTGGGGGTTGGGGCTGTGGTTCCCAGGTCATTGGAGTTATGTTCCTAGGAGGATTATGGCTGCCTCTGCTATGTCATGCAGGTGGTCAAGGAAGTGGGAGAAATCCAGAAGTCACACTCTTCAACCAGCTTCCACATGACCCAAAAAGTGGGTCTCACTCCCACTGTGTCCCACCCAGCCCCATCAACAGCAACAGTCTGTTTCCAGCCAGCAGGTGAACAGGGCTGAGAACTTGCCCCAGGCTACAAGCCTCCCAGCTGCAAAAGCAAGTAGGGCTTTTGTGCTTCCCCACCTGTGGATTCTGCACAACAGATTCATGCCCTCCCCTGAGTTCTGGCCAGGAAACTTTGCGTTTGGTTGGAATTTTTACAAAGTTCAGCTGGAGATTTCCTTCTCCCTGTGGTCTTTTCTTAGTTCCTCCCCTCCCCAAGGACCCCTGTCAGACAAGTCTGAAATAGCTTCCCAGGAGACTCAGAGCCCACAGGGTTTTTGCCACTGCTTCCTCTACCACTGTATTTTGCTCAGCTTTCTAAATTGACTTAGCTCCAGGTAAGGTCAGAATCTTCTCCCATAATTTAGACCCTCAGGTTCCCCAGTGAGGGTATGTGTTTGGGGGCAGACGATCCCCCTTTCCCACCTCCACAGCTTAGGCACTCACAGTATTTGGGCTGTCTCCCGGGTTTTGCAGGGGCAATCCACTTCCTTCAGAGGGTCTGTGGGTTCTCTTGGCTTTCCTGGTTTATTCCTGCAGTATTCTGGAGTGGTTAGTTAACACTGAGGTTTAAAACCCTACACTCTTGCCAAAACTCAAGGAAAACATGGGCAGCTCCCTCCATCTCCTCCCTTCCTAGGAGAGAATAAGGAAAGGCATGTGGCCTAGAAGCAAGGGGAAGAAAGAGGGCCAGAAGGAGAGAGGAGACCAGCATGTGCCCAGGATTAAAATCAGGCAAGTTCTCCACTTACGAGGGAAAGAAGGACATTGTCAAACTGCCTTTAGAGAAAGGACAGAGACAGAAGGGAGTTTTGTTCTTGTTGTTGTTGTTGTTGTTGTTGTGTTTGTTTGTTTGTTTTTTGAGATGGAGTCTCGCTCTCTCTCCAGGCTGGAGTGTAGTGGCACTATCTCAGCTCACTGCAACCTCCACCTCCCAGGTTCAAGCGATTCTCCTGCCTCAGCCTCCTGAGTAGCTGGGACTACAGGCACGTGCCACCATGCCCAGTTCATTTTTGTATTTTTAGTAGAGATGGGGTTTCACCATGTTGGCCAGGATGGTCTCGATCTCTTGACCGTGTGATCTGCCTGCCTCGGCCTCCCAAAGTGCTGGGATTACAGGCGTGAGCCACCATGCCCAGCCGAGAGAAGGGAGTTTTAAATGTTCTTCAGTGTTTCCAAAGGGCCTTCTCCATGACCATTGCTGCTGTAAGCTTTCCCCTATAACCAGGAGGTCTGGCTACCCATGGCCCCACATCCGAAGGCTCAGTGGGTAGAAGAGCTGAGCCTTCTCTGGTGAGAAGTGAGGTGCTGGGCTTGGATATCGGTTTTTCAGCACACTAACCCAGTTACCACCCTCTTTCCTTCTCTCTCCACTAGTCACACACCCCTGTTTTCTAGGTGTGAACCACTGACAAAGCATTTTTCATGCACCTTGCTTTGGTGGTGATGTGGCCCACATCTACATAGGCTCCAACTACTGCCAGCAGCTGGTGGAATGACTTAAGGTCTAGCAGAAGTCATATGGATAGGTCATATTGATAGAGTCATATCGCTATCCCTGGCGATTACTGCAGGTGCAGTAATCAGCTCAGACAGCACTGTGTGTCTGCTTAATCAGATGAGTGTCTGGATGATGTGTGTTATTTGAGAAGAGCACAGAGATTTGAGTAGTTCAGCCCAGATTCAAGCTCTGACTCAGCTACTTACCCACCCAGTACATGACGTGAGTGAATTAGTTAACTTCTCTGAGCCTATTTCCTTATCTGGAAAATAGAATTAATGCTGACATCATAGGATCACTGTGAACTAAAGTGGTTAATTAAAAACAAAAGTATTTGTGAGGTATGAAAGCCTGCAGTGATATGGGACACCATAAAGGTGGAGAACGTAGTATCTGAAGTTGAAGAGCCCGGCACTTGGGTTCCAGCTACACTGGTCACTAGTGCGGGGACCTTGAACAGATGCTGATGCTTTTATTTTTAATATAGACTTTTTGTTTTTCAGGCAGGGTCTCCTTCTATCACCTACGCTGGAGTGCAGTGGCATAAACATGACTCACTGCAGCCTTGACCTCCTGGGCTCAAGTAGTCCTCCTACCTCAGCCTCCTGAGTAGCTGGGAACACAGGCACATGCCACTATGCCCAGCTAATCTTTCAGTTTTGTAGAGACAGGGTCTTGCTATGTTGCCCAGGCCAGTCTCAAACTCCTGGGCTCAAGCAATCCTCCCGCCTCAGCCTCCCAAAGTGCTGGGGTTACAGGCATGAGCCACTGTGCCCGGCTAGACTTTAATTTTTAGAGCAGTATTAGGTTCCCAAAAAAATTGAGTTGGAAGTACAGAGATTTCCCATATATCACCCCCAACCCCAGCTTCCTCCACTGTCAACATCCCATGCTGAAGCGGTACATTAGTTACAATTGATGAACCTACACAGACCCATCATTATCACCCAAAGTTCATACTTTGCATTAGTGTTCACTCTTGGTGTACATTCTAAGGGTCTGGACGAATGTATAATGACATGCATCCACCATTACAACATCATGCTGAGTAGTTCCACTGCCCTAAAAATCCTCTGTTCTTCACCTGTTCATCCTTTGTTGCCCCCAGACCCCTGATAACCACTGATGCTTCTACTGTCTCCATAGTTTTGCCTTTTTCATAATGCCATGTAGTTGGAATTACACAATATGTAGCCTTTTCAGATTGGCTGTTTCACTTAGTGACATGCATTTAAGCTTCCTCCATGCCTTTTCATGGTTTGATAGCTCATTTTCTTTTAGTAATGAATAATACTCCATTCTCTGGATGTACCAGTTTATTTATCCATTCGCCTACTGAAGGAAATCTTGGTTGCTTCCAAGTTTTGGCAATTACAAATAAAACTGCTGTAAACATCCATGTGCAGGTTTTTTTGTGGATCTAAGTCTTCAACTCAATTGGGCAAATACCCAGGAGAATGATTGCTATATCATATTCACTTTTCTGAGCCTCATTTTCTTCACTGGTAAAGTGGAGATAACAATAGTCCCATAGGGTGATTGTGAAGTTTAATTGAGATAATGCACATGAAGCCCTTAGCAATGCACCCAGCACATAGGCAATACTCAACTAATGGTAGCCCATCCTTGTTATCCTATTCAAGAGTAATGACAATACAAATGTGAGAGATGGAAATTCAAGTATTGACCGAGGGATATGACACATGGAGGTGGCATAGTCATGCGTCATCTGTCCATACTCCAAGAGGGCACAGGGCAACAAGAAATACTAGAAGACAGTCAGGGCACCACTGCTGCCATTGAGGTGGGATCTGGTCATCTCCTAGGGCCTGTGACCCTGAGTCCTGCAGTCCTGAGCTGCCAGGGTAGGGGAGGTGGAGATCAACCCATGGTCCCACAGTGAAGTGTGTCCCAGCTTTAGCAAACCAAGGTATCCTCCCACTGTGCATTCCTCTCCTCCCCAAGCCTGCTCCTCCAGCAGCTCCCCACTCCCCTCCTTTTGACTTATCTGAGCCAAGCCCTGTCCCTAACTAGAAACTCAGAGGTGATGAAAACAAAGTTTTTTCCTCGCTTTACTTACTTCCTGTGAACTCGCTTAATTGTTCCCAGATTACTAGGTCACCAGGAGGATTTGGTACCTTGGATTTTTTTTTCTTCTTCTTCCTTATGCTTTCTGGAGACAACAAGGGTCACTTGGGGTCCTGCCTTGTGTGGCAAGGGTATGCTGATCGGATTTCTCTGGAATCCATTTCTGTGGTGTTTCTTGAGTGAGGGGATGGACTGAGTGGCCTGGGTGGTGTGTGGCTTTCAGAAAGCAATGCATTATTTTCTGCAGAAGTAACTAAAGACACGTTCTCTGAGCCTCCAGTGATAGGCCATGTTAGCTGGAAACAATAATGGTGGTTGTATTTCTGTTGTTTCTATCTCAGCCTTTCTTTTTCAGGCTGCCATAGAATTATTAAATGGTTTGAGTCAAAATCAGGCCTGAGCCTTTCAGAAGCCTTTCCTTAGACAAACACCGCTGGTAACGCTTTAGTTTAGCCTTCTGACAAGTGGGTCTCATTACTCCACCCATGTGCCCTTCCCCTCTGCTCCCATTCCCCTCTCTTGGATAAAAGCCTGGGGAGGAGTGAGAACTGCTTTGCCCTGTGCTCTTGGAGCAGGGCCTTTCTCTCAGGATACAAAGCCCTTGGGGAAGCAGGCAATTCTGCCCATGATGCTTCTGATGCTTTGGGTGGAAAAGGTTGCCACCCGAGAGCCTGGTTTAGGCACCACTCCAGCAACACCCAGGAATCAGCTGAGTGTCCCCCAGCATGTCACCTCCACGGTGAGGGTGTTGGACCTGATGACCTCTTCTAGATCCATTTTTAAACATTTCTCCAAGTGACTTTAGCACTACCCAGTAGAGGTTTCTACAATGACAGGAATGTTCACTAAAGGCTACCCTGTACAATAATGGCAGCCACTGGTCACGTGTTGCCTTTGAGCACTTGAAATGTGAATGGTACAGTGCAGAAAGACTTATTTCATTTAATTTTAATTAATTTAAATTTAAGGAGCCACAAGGGGCTAACGGCTACCATATTAGACAACACAGGCCTAGGCTACTGGATTCTGTATGTTTAAAACTGTGTGTTCCATCCATTCTATCTAGAAATTATACCACATCCACCCATGTCTCTTCATTTCCACAGTATCCACCTTAAGCTGAGCCACCAACATCTCTTTCTTAGGAAATGACAATATTTACTCCTTGGTTTCCTTTCTCTAACTTTAGCTCCCTCTGATCCGTTTGCTACAGTGAAAAGTGATCTTAAAACAAAAATTGACCAAGTTACTCTTCTCCTCAAAATCCTTCAACAACTTCCCCACTGCAGTAAAATTGAAAACCCCTCATGAGGCCTGCAAGTGCCTGCATGCTCTGAGCCCTGCTCCCTTGAGTGTCTGCACAGTCTGAGCCCTGTTCCTTCAAGTGTCTGCACACTCTGAGCCCTGTTCCCTTCAGGCCTCATGCTGTCTCAGTCTCCCCACTGTACCCACCACAAATTAGGCTTCTGGAAGCCATCAAACCCTTTTTCAGTTCAGGTCCTTTGCTTAAACTTCCCATTTGTTCTAGAGCTGTGCTGTCCAATACAGATGCCACTAGCCACATGTGGTTTTTAAGAAATATGTATTTTTTCATTAATTAAAATTAAACAAAACTTAAGATTTATTTCTCAGTCACACTAGACACGTTTTAAGTGCTTGCTAGTCACATGTGGCTGATGGTTACCATATTGGACAGCACAACAGTTCTTTTGGACAGCACAGTTCTGGGACATTTTTCCCCACACTTGAGCTTAGCTAATTCCTACCCATCCTTCAAGTCCAACATTCCATAGAGGCCTTTTCTGACCCTCCACTCTAAATTAAGGGTCCCCGCTTTATTTCTCACAGAACCTGCAATTTTCCTTTTCAGTTCTTCCAACTCTTTGCAAAATTATAGTTACGTGTCTGACTGTTTAATATTCATGTTTCCTATTAAGATCTAAGGCAGTGTCTCTTTTGTCCACCTGTCAATCCTCAGCCCCTGTCTCAGTGCCTGGCACTTAGCAGGAGCTCATTCATGTTGAGTGAATGAATGAAATAATGAATACGTATATAGATGGGTATAGTGGCTAAACATCATTTACTTGCCTAAAGAAACACAAAATCAAGAGTGAGAGCTTAGGAACCACATGGTCCTGAAATAAAACTCTGACTTCCATTCTTATTCTAACCTTTGGGAGCCACTGTCTCCTCATGTAAAAAACGAATGTTATTGCCATCTTAGACTGCTGTGCTGAGGAGTGAATGGGCTGACACAGGCAAAGCCCTCAACATATAATTATAATAGGTGTCATGTGTACATGCGTTTTTTTCTCTTTATCCCCTCTGCTATGTCCTTCTATCCTTCTCCATGGTCCCCTCCCTTCCACGCTGCATCTCTGGACCTGGCCTCTGCGTCTCTCATGCCTCAGGCCCATCCCTCTCTAAGAGATCTTTAGTTCCTGCCAACCTGTCGCAACTCAAGGATTAAACTAAACATTTCTCCAGCATAGAGCACCCCCTATGTTTGGGCATTCTTCACTGTCTTCCCTGTATGTGGCTGTATAAACCAGCCTGAACTACCTTCCCACCCAGAGCTCATAAAGGCAGACTCCAGCCTGCAAATGCTCTCAGAATAGCATTTGCTCAGAATAGCAGGTGCTCTTAACACCTGGCAGAGAGGGGCCCCATTCTCTTTGGGCATTTTCCATCAATTTGTATCTGCAGACCACATGCATCAGAATCACCTCCAGGGCTTGTTTAAAATTCAGATTCTTGGGTCTCACTCTAGATTTATTTAACCAGAATCTCTGCAAGGGGGGCCCTGAACCTGCATTTTCAATAACCAGCTCAGATGATTCAGAGCTCTTGTCAAGCCTTCTCAGGGTATAACATTTAACCCCGGGGAATACTGGGAGGATGGTTCCGATAAGCCACTCACTGATCCTCCTTTAATGTTTATACAATTTCATTTTTACATCAAAAGATCATTTACCAAACACCTACCTAGTGAGTTATTGAGTTTATTACTATTATTTGGAACTCATAAACTCACATGAGGAATTTTGTCAGGCTTAAAGGGGGTGCCAACCCACTCTTCTGCCCAGAGTTACCTGCAGCAGCAAGCCATCCTGCAGACTTCCATGGGGTAAGTGTCCACAAAAGTCACTGGAAGTCCCCATTGGTAGTCATTTAGAAGGACGCAGTGTAATCAAAGGACCATCACTGTTGTCTTGAATGGGTCGTGATTTAAAATTGCTGGTCTTTTTGGTCTTTAATGATAATTTATATTTGTTTCATCACTATCAATTTGTTTTCTATGGGTGATATGGTTCACCCTACAGTATGTAGGCAAGCAGGTTGGCATCAGTATAAACCATGGCCTACACATTCCTAATAACTAGAACTTAAGGCACGCAGCTTGCTGTTCAAATATAAATAACCTCAAAGCCAAAGCAGATGTGTGTATACGTAATCCCTTCAAAATCTGCATGAGATTGATATTTCATCATAGTAAGCGTGTTCATTTCCCACATGAAATTGTAAAGGCAGTGGCTAGGATAGTGGTGCCAGCAGAGACATTTAAGCAGCCCTGAGCCAGGCTCTGAGCAGAGCTCTTGTCATTTTTCCTTTTTTTTTTTGCTTTGGGAAGAAAAAGATATCTTCCCCTGGCACCCTAGGCCCACCTCCTTCAGGCAGAATTGCCAGTTCCTCTGGCCCCTGCCTCACCCCCTTCCAGAGTTCTCTCTACTTAACTCCACCCTCAGGCTCCACCCTTGAAGGGCACAGCCCAGCTGTACTGAGTTGAGGTTTTTCTGACCCTCAGAAATAAGCAGTTAGCAACATCCCCAGCGCCTGTCTTCTTTCTGCTCTTCCCAGGGGGCCCTTGACTCACCACCAACCCACAGGGGAAACCACAGAGCACAGCAGCCCAGCGCCGACTGCACCTCCCCGGAAAAGTTCCTGGAGGTTCAAGAATGGCTCCTCTATGTTGACTCCCTGTCTCATCTCAGGTGCCATGCTGGACTTTTATATACGGGGTCTTAACCCCCCACCACAGCACAAGCCAGCAAGGTGGGGCTTCATGCAAATGAGGCGGCTGAGGGCCAAAGCAGTGTGGTGGCCACCCCTCACCAAACTGAGCCTGTTCCCAGTAACTACTCCCTTTACCGTCCCATGCTGGAGGCCAGCGCCCAGCCAGCTCCTCTCTGTGCCTTTTTTTTTTTTTTTTTGGTTTTTATTACATCCAATCCCATTTATGTGAATGTGCACAAAAACAGCAAGATCTTGCTGGTTTGGAACTAGGACATACTTAATTTTAAAAAATATTGAGGATTATTTACACATAGTGAAATGCATAGCTCTTAAGTGAACCATTCAATGAGCTCTCGGGTGCAGCTGGACCAAGTTAACAACAAAGCAGTACACAGGGGTTTAGCTAAGAGGCCAGGATGAAGAAACTAGGAAAGGAGCCACTCACCCTCACACAGCTGTACCACCCCAAGTTCCCCTTCGCATTCCCACTGAGGGCCTGCTGACATCCTGTTTAACATGACTGTCAAAACAACTCTTGTTATGCTATCTCAGCCATGTTTATGAGAGCAAAACCACTTGGGAGTAAGCCAAATGTCCATTAAATAAACTACAGTGCCATCCATACAATAGAAAATACCATTGAGAAAGAACATTAATAGACACGGAAAGCTGCCTGTTAAAGGCACCTCATAAAACACCAGTGTTAACAGTTGTTCTGAGTGTCCGGATTATGGGCAACTATTATATTCTTCTTCTGATTTGCCAGTACTTTGTGCAACAAATGTAATAGTAAATAAATTTTATTTGTTGAAGGTGCTTGGCTCTACATTGTTACATCTGGAGGAACAGGGTGTACACAGGAAGTGTAGAAACGCTACAACAGCAATCTCCCTGACAGAACTGAGATGAGCAGCGGGGAACGCCTACATGCCCTAGGACAGGAATCTGTGGCTGGCTTTCTCTGGTTCAGAAGGTCTTACTCTGTGCAAGAGCTTGCACACATATCTCATCATTTGGAGGAAACTAACTGGTTAGCACCCCAGGCAAGGCTGGCTGTTCTCACTGCCCCTTCCATGTGGTTTACTGCCTCTATGGTTTTGTTCTTCCCACTCCCTCTTGCTGAAGAGCCCTCTGGCATGGCTCAGCAGATGTAAAGTCTATCCATACTGAGGCAGGATAATGGCCCCTCAAAGATGCCCCAATCCCTGCATCTTGTAAATATATCATGTTGCATTGCAAAAGAGGCTTGGCAGATGTAATTGAGGTTACAGAATTTAAAATAGCCAGAGTACAGCTGGGTACGGTGGCTCACGCCTGTAATCCTAGCACTTTGGGAGGCCGAGGCAGGTGGATCACTTGAGGTCAGGAGTTAGAGACCAGCCTGGACAACATGGCAAAATCCTGTCTCTACTGAAAATACAAAAATTAGCCAGGTGTGATGGTGCATGCCTATAATCCCAGCTACAGGGAGGCTGAGGCAGGAGAATTGCTTGCACCCAGGAGGCGGAGGTTGCAGTGAGCCAAGATTGTGTCACTGCACTCCAGCCTGGGTGGCAGAGCAAGACTCTGTCAAAAAAAAAAAAAAAAAAAAAAGCCAGAGTAGCCCAGATCATCCAGGTGCACCCAATCTAATCACATGAGCCCTTAAAAGCACAGAACTTTCTCCCGCTGGAGTCAGAAGAGAAGTGGCAGAACTCAACAGAAAGATTGGGAGCGTGAGAGGGACTTGACCCCCATTGCTGAAGGCTACGTGGAAAGCATGAGGAGAAGGTGGGCAGCCCCCAGCTAACAGCCAGCAAGGAAGTGAAGACCTTAGTCCTACAACTGTAAGGAACGGCCAACAATGAGCTTAGAAGCAGATTCATCCCCAGAAACTCCCAAAAGGAACACGGCCCTGCCAAAACCTTGATTTTGACCTCGTGAAACTCTAAGCAGAGGACTGAGTAGAGCCACATGTACCCACACTTCTAACCTACAGAACTGTGGAATAATAAAAATAGGTGTGATTTTAATCCATTAAATTTGTGGTCATCTGTTATGGCAGCGATAGAAAACAATACACTATCCTTCAGGATCAATGCAAATGCCACCTCTGTGAAACCTCCTCCAATTCCTCCCTCCATATACGTGAGCGTTCCCGTCTCTGAATTCTCCAAACACTCTTCCCCAGGTCTCTTCAGCCACCACCGTGGTCCACCTGGTCTTAGGGTTATTTGTGCACATGTTGTATTTCTCCTGCTAGATAGACTGCGAGCTACTTGGGGCAGTATCTGAGGCTGATTCATCTTTATTTTCCTTTTAGGGCATTGCAGAACGCTTCATACGTAGTCAGAGCTAAATTTTTGTTGGAAGGATGTCTTCCTACCAGTAGATGGATGTTTATTGTTTAATAAAATGAATCTCTATGGCAATTAGGAATTAAAATATGGACCCCGGAAATATTTGCAAATATAGAAAAAAGTAGCCAGTGATGGATACTGACAGCATAAGAAAAACTAGAATGTGCAAAAGTAGGATATCTAAATCTTTTTGATGCTTGGAATCTGACTGCTGTGGCAGTTGGTCCTAAGATGTACATTAACACAAAAAATAAATAGGATTACAAGTAGGATTCTAAAATATAACCTCTTAAAACTTCTAGCAACATGGAAGTTTAAGGAAATGAATGTTCCTCTGCTGCTTCAAATAGATAGAAATGTTGTAGAAACTGTAATATAATTTTTTAATATCCAGCTGAGCTCAAAATAAAGAAAAGGAAACTCTCAGATTCCAGAGAAGAGAAAACTCCAAGTCAGACTGTCAAGAGCAATGGCTGAGCAGTCCAGTGGGCTTGGGAACAGGACATCGGTCCTCATGGCTTGGCTTAGGGATTTAACATCCACAGGTGAAGATGAGATGTTCTCAGGCTGATGGAGGTAGAAAGCTGAACTTCTATACCAAATAGTACCTATGGCATAATAAGAAACTTCTATTTGGTCTTCATCCCTGGTTCCTGATAGAGAATTCCTAAATTGCTTGGAACTTGCTAGGTGATAGGAGTATCTTTTGTTCCAATGAGGTTACTTTTGGTGGGCTTCTAGACAGCTTCAGAATGGCGACTGGTTACCAAAAGGACCAAGCCTTGATACGAAGCCTAGAATTTTTAGCATCACTCTACCCTCCCACACCACCCCATCCTCCCCAGGAGGGAAGAGGGGCTGGAGATTGAGTTAATAATAGAGTGTGCCTATGTGATCCAACCTCCATAAAAAACCTCTAAACGATGGGGTTCAGGGAGCTTCCGGGTTGAACACATCCATGTGCCAGGAGATGGGGGCACCTCAACTCCATAGAACAGAAGCTCCTGCACTTAGGACCCTTCAGACCTTTTCCTATGTTCCCTATATGCCTGGAACTCATCTGGTTGCTCATTTGCATCCTTTATAATAAGCTGGTCAATGTAAGTAAAGTGCATTCCTGAGTTCTGTGAGCTGTCCTGGCAAACTATCAAACATGAGGAGAGAGGCATGGGAACCCCTATTTATAGCCAGTTGGCCAGAAGTACAGGAGGCCTGGCACTGAAGCAGGGGCAGTCTTATGAGACTGAGCCATTAGGCTGTGAGGTCTGTGATAACTCCAGGTAGTTAGTGTCAGAATTGATCTGAACTGTTGGACACTCTGGTGTCCAGAGAATCAGAGAATCGGTTGTAGTGTTGGAAAGCACCCTATGTAGAGTACCCATGAAGAGGGGAGAGAAAAAACTATTCATTAGCCTGTGGAAGCAGCAAGAAAGCATTGTATCTACTCAGAGTTCTTGGGAAGAAAAGAAAACAAAAAGTTTATATGAAAAATCAAAATTCCAGGTGTGGGGTCTATATTTACCCAGCACACATGGTAGAAGCTCACCTTTGAACTGATAAAAAGGCAATAAAAGCACAGAAGACACATGTGCTCTATAGGGAATCGTTCCCCAACCCACAGAGCACAAGTTCACCACAGGAAACGGAACACTCATTGAGAATAAGCTTATAATGAAAAAAAAATGATCTATGTGAATAAATATTCCACATTGAAGGAAAGAATTAGACTATGAGAACTTGTAAAATCTGTTAAAAATAAATTGTACTTAAAATGTTAGAAAACACTTCTGTGAAGTTCTTACTACATGGTAAGCATTGTTCTAAGCATTTTACTTGTTTTAAAGAGATGAAAGAAGGAGTAGAACACAATGATAAAATACAATAAATGGAAAAGGAAATAGTGTCGATCATCACATACGAAGCACTACCAAAATTCCCCATGCACTGGCACTTGGTAGAGCTACATGACTTGTTCTGGCCAGTGGTCTGTGGCAGGTGGTGCTGCGTGTTAATTCCAATATTGGCCATAGGATAGCTAATGTGACATCCTCCAGATGTCCGTTTCCCTGTTGCAGACACCCAGTAAGCCTCATATTCCAGGTAGTGCAACTGCTAGATGATGGAGCCTCTTTCGTCCTTGGTCTCTGAGTGACCGTGTAGAACAGACCCCACCAAAATCCACTGGGTACAAAGGAGTGAGAAATAAACTATTGCTGTATTCAATCATGGAGATTGGGAAATTTGGGATTATTTTCTTTCTGTAGCATAACCTAGTCTGTACTAACTCAAGTGAATGTGAAAAAAAATCAGAATGTATGAAAATAAAAGTAAAGAAACTAAGACTAAAAACTCGATTTACTTAAACATGAAAATAGACAGAGTTGAAGAGATCATTAAATAATTGAAATGTAGACCTAGGAAATTACCCAGAAAGCACCACAGAGATAGAGATGAGAAATATGAGGCCTAAAGATACATGGAGGATAGAATTAGAAGTTTCAGTACAAATCTATTTAGAAGTTAAGGAAAGAAAGGATAGAGAGAATGGAGGAGAAATAATGTTGCAATAAATAAGGGCTTAGAATTTTCCAGACTTGAAAACAAGTTCTCAGGATAAAGAAGCATGGTGAATTCCAAGAATAATAGGTAAAAAGTTAATCCATGCCTAGACAACAGAACACCTTAAAATAGAATACTTTAACAGAAGAAAAACAGCCAGAGAAGAGATAGTGCCTGCAAAAGAAAGACAATTACGCTGGCATCAGAAAAATACATTCCAAGGGTTTGGGAAATATAACTACTCAGCTAAATCAATAGCAGCTAATTCAGCAAAATCATCATTTATGAATGAGGGCAAAATAAAGCCTTTTTTTTTTTTAACAAAAAGAGACAGAGCTTGCCATTCACAAACTCTGGCTGAAAAACTATGAAAGCGTGTGTTTCTAAAAGAAGGAAATTGAAGCCAGAAGGAGGGAGTGGAATAAGAAAGCAATAACGAGAAAAACAAAGGTAAGCGTATGAGTAAAACTAAATATTTGCCTGTACAAGAATAACAACAATGACTAATCAGAGTGTTAAAGTGAAACTGAAACACTTGATTATAGCCACACGGAGGAAGAGAGGGGAAAATCAATTAATGCATTCTAAGCTTCTCATCCTGTTTGGTGACAACATAGAAATATTAATTAAACATAGGCTTTGCTGAATCAAGTGTGCATGCTAAAAATACAGAGATGACTTCTAAAAGAATAGAAATAGGATGTAGAAGCACGAAACTCATATAAAGAATGAGGTGGGGAGAATGGTGGGGCAGGGGAAGGGTCGGGGGACAGGGATGCTTGATTAAGCCAACAGCAGACAATGAGAAAAAGAGAAAGAACATGGTCAGTAGTGACACACCAAATGAGATGATAGAAATGTCAAAATAGGCTATTAATCACAATTAATGTAAACACATTGTTTTGCCAGTTAAAAGAGAAATATCCTTAGATTGCATTTAAACACACACGTCCATCATGCATGCTATTCATAAGAGGCCAAACCATACACAAACTATGTGTATTATTTATTAGAGACTCAATAAAACGTGACACGAACAGTTGAAAATAAAGAAATGGGGAAGGTATGCTCCAAAATTCCAGTGTGGGCTATGTGCCTTAGAGGAAAGCTCTCATGCATTGCAGAAGGAGGCATGTTCAAAATTGTTCGCTACATTGAAAAGGGAAGATGATAAACAGCATAAACATCCAATGGTATGGGGATAAAAAAATTAATGTTGGCATGTAATAAAGCACCATGTAATGGATAAATGGCTAAACCAGATCAAATGGGCCCAGATGAATAAATATTAGAAGCATAACATTGAGTAGAAACAAGGAATTGCAGAAGGCTATCACAATATGATATCATGAATGTAGATCTTTTCCAAAGGAAACTTTTTATTGAAGAATGATATATATACATACATACTTACCTAAAATGTACAAATCATAATGAACAGTTCAATGAATTATTGAAAAGTGACCTGGCCTGGTAACCTGCACTCACATAAATAGAACATGACCAAGCCCTCCCAGAGGCTCTCCCCGAGTACTACATACCTCCAAAGGTAACCACGATCAAACTTCTAACCCTAGAGGTTGGTTTTGCCTGTTTTTGAAATGTATATATATGTGATCATACAGTGTGAACTCTTTGCGTCTGGGTTTTTGTTTTTGTTTTGAGATGGATCTCCCTCTGTCACCCAGGCCCAGGCTGGAGTGAAGTGGCATGACCATGGCTCACTGCAGCCTCTACGTCCCGGGCTCAAGCAATCCTCCCACTTCAGCCTCCCAAATAATTGTGACCTCAAGTGGGTGACACCATGCCTGGCTAATTAAAACAAATTTTTTTTTTTTCAGCTGGGCATGGTGGCTCACGCCTGTAATCCCAGCACCTTAGGAGGCCAAGGCCAGGAGTTCAAGACCAGCCTGGCAACATGGCAAAACTCTGTCTCTACTAAAAATACAATAATTAGCCAGGCTTGGTGGCACATGGCTGTAATTCCAGCTACTGGGGAGGCTGAGGCATGAGAATTGCTTGAACCCAGGAGGCAGAGGTTGCAGTTAGCTGAGATCATGCCATTGCACTCCAGCCTGGGCAATAGAGGGAGACCCTCTCTCAAAAATAATAATAATAAAAATATAAAAATAATTCTATTTCTAGAAATGGGGTCTCGCCCTGTCGCCCAGGTGGGTCTCAAACTCCTGGGCTTAAGCAATCCTCTTGCCTCAGCCTCCCAAAGTGCTGGGACTGCAGGTGCAAGCCACCATGTCCAGCTGTGTCTGGCTTCTTTAATTCCATATTATGTTTGTGAGATGCATCCTAATGGAAGTATGAAGCTGGATTTTATTTATTTTCTTTGGTATGCTGGTATTCTATTGTATGGATATGCTGCAATTAATTTATGAACTCTGTTGGGGATCTACATTTGGGAATTTTGGGGGACTATTACAAGCAGTGCTTCTATGATCGGTCTTGGACTTTTCTTCTGGTTCATATGTGCAAGCATTTCGCTTGGGTATATGCTCAGCAATTGCTGGGTCAGAGGGTATGCATACTTTCAGCTTTAGTAGAGACTCATAAACAGTTCTCCAAATTGGGTGTACCATTTTACTACCTTAGCAGTGTGTGAGAGTTCCAGTTCCTTCACCTCTTATTCACACTTGATATTTTTAGTCTTTTTAATGTTAGTCATTGTGGTGGTTAATGGGTGTGAATTTTAAAACACATACGCTGTGCACTGCTTAGGATATGTTCACATGCATTAAAATATAAAAACATGGATGGGAATGTTTTACATCAACCTTAGGATGGTAATTACCTCAAGGCAGAGGGCAAAATCTCAGAGTGGGGTGATAAAATGGGAAGCTTCAACTGTACTTGTAACATTAATCTTTTACCATGGGAAACAAATATGGGCAAACAAACATTTTTTTAGAACCAGGTGGGAAGTATATATGTGTATTTTATCGTTCTCTATATTACTTATGTTTGGTTCATACTGTAATTTTCTTTTTATTTAAGAAAAATGTTTTTAAAGGCAAAAATAGACCCTCCACAAGGAAGAAGCAAATTCACAAATGTACCTGGTTGTAAACACATTTGAAACATGACTAACAAACCAGATAGTCCACTCCTGGGTATAATTTCCCCAATACATAGAACGATGTTAAGGAACTATAGTTCAAACAAAACACATAATTATGTGCTCTGATAAGGGATTAGAAGCAAATATCAAAGTTAAATATCATCATTTATGATTCTTTTGCAGGGAGGGTAATTCACTATGCTGGAATGGATACCGTATGAGTGTCCATTTACAAATAAGAATTTCTTGGTACGTTCTTGCGCTAGAAAATTTCTATTTTGTAGAGAGATTGCTATCGCACACTTACTACAAAGGACCGACGTTATCGTAATGAAACAACTAAATCAGTAGAAAGAATAGCTAAGGAGACTTGGCTTTTAATTCTGCCACAGCCACCTCCAGAATCCTCCGTTGCCTCCTCCCCACCATCCAGGTGGTAGGCTAGACTCAGCTTTCTCCACCTCAGTTCTACTGACATTTTGGGCTGAATAATTCTTTGTTGCAGTGGGCTGCCCTGTGCAATATAAGATGTTTAGCGGCATCCCTGCACTCTACCTGCCTGATTCCAGGAGCCACCACCCCTCCCTGAGTTGCAGCAACCAAAGAGATTTCCAGACATTGCCTAATGTTCCCTAAAGGTAAAATCACCCCCAGTTGAGGACCACTGGGGATTGTCCCTTCCAACTCTAAAATGTTATGCAATCCTTTGAGCAATACACATAGTTTTCTCAGAGCTTAGGTAAACAAAGTATGAAGAGCCAACAATGGCCAGGCAGACAGCTCAGGTCATGTGTGTGGCTACTCAATTGCTATCTCAAGAAAAGAGGAGCATTTGATGGAGCAATAGAGGAAACTGATAATGCTTTGACCAGGGATGTTATCTACTGTGAGAATGGGGCAAGTGGCTATGGAAAATGATTGAGGCTCCGGAGAAATTGAACGTATTGTCAAGATCAACCAAGCACACACACTTTACCTCACTACACTGGGTCTCAGCTCCCAATAGATTGGGAATTCCCAGCCACATATTACATTATAGCAGAGTGAGGATTCCCAGCCATACAATACCCAGAGAGTAGGGAGGGAAGAATGTGATTTGTTAGTAAGTTATGCAAGTAGAAAATGGTATATATCCTGTCATAGGGTGGTTCCCAAGAAGCAAAGCCTTAAAAGATGGTATAAACTCCCAGATGAGGGGACTTCTGTTTTAGCTGAGGGCAATTCTCAAGATAATAGGCAGATGTGTACTGTCAGCTGCCAACATTTAGAGGAACTAGTAACTCCCAGCCAAGGAAAAGGATTTGCAATAGTGTCTACTACAAGTGTATAGCATAAACATGTTTGGACACTAAATTTACAAAATTGTTGTACATAGGCTTGGAGAATCTTGGAACAGCAAGGTATTGACATTTATTAAGCACCTAACAACAGGTGTCAGATGCTGTGCTGAGTGTCTTTGTTTTCTTTTATTTTCTTTCTTCCTTTTGAGACAGTCGCTCTCTGTTACCTAGGCTGAAGTGCAGTGGTCTGATTTGAGGTGCACTGCAGCCTCAAACACCTGGGCTCAAGAAATCCTCCCGCCTCAGCATCCCAAGGAGCTAGGACTACAGGTGCACACCACCGAACACGGCTAATTAAAAATTTTTTTAGAGACGAGGTCTCACTATGTTGCCCAGGCTGTGCTGGGTGCCTTTCATTGACTATGTCATTTAACTTCACCACACTGACAACAGGTCTTATTCTCCTCCACTTACAAATGAGGAAACTGAGGCTCAGAGGGTGAGTAATGTTCCCAAGAGAAGAGAACTTATGAAAATACTGGAGCTGAGTAGAGCGTTTGCTGGCAGCCCTTGCTCTTTACACTTGAGCCCCTAGCTTAGCCCAGCATCTGGCCTTTTAAAAGGAACACATGGCATATATAGTTGAGGAAGGAGAAAACCTGATTTTGGGACTTAGGAACATGCATACCGAGTGCCTTGCAAGCCAATCTCCTCATCAGCTGAAGGCCACAAATTACCAACAACTTTACTACAGCCACATCTCCCAGAGGCACAGCACTCCTGGCCCCCAGCAGTGGGGATGGAGAATGGGGGGTGTTTCCAGATTAAAGTAGTGCATAGGAGAGCCCAGAGCTCCACACTACTACAGAACCACCACGGGACCATTGTCACCAATCCACAAAGGCCTATAAAGTACACAGGGTCCTGGCAGGAAGCCCTTGGCCCACTCCAAGAAGACAAAGAATACTTTCACTTGATAAGACTGATGGCTCTCAGGAGGATGGAGAAAGGGTCCAAGACCCCATACATTCTGCCATACATTCTGTACCCTGGGAAAGGCTTATCATTAAGCAACAATCAGGACTCCCTGGGGTGTGGAGGAAATGACCTTTGGGCCATTATCAACAATGCCTCCCAACCCCCTCGCCTTCTGGAGCTGCCTCCCACTCTGAAGTGACTGTTCTGGGTTTGGAAAGAGAAGCAGGGAGTCTGATTCCTAAGGCAGGTGCTTTTCTACTGACAATGAGCCAGGCATGTCCTTTCCCCTGGATTCTGAGACCAAGATGGAGGGATGGAAGAGAGTGAACAGGTAGAGAGATGGTTGTGATGGGTGTGTGAGTGTGTGTGTGTTCTCTCCAGGGCTAGAAGCCAACTGAAGTGTGTAATGCAAAAAATTAAGAGCCAGCACCACCCCATTGAAAGAGCTCAAGCTTTGGCATCTGGAGTCTTAGGTTAAAGTCATTGCTGTCAGAAAGAAAATCCAAATGGAGATGGTTATGTCAGAAGTATCAAAAAAGCCAGGAAGGCATGAGGAGTTGGACCCCAGTCACGTACACACCCAGATGGAATCTGATCTATTAAACTGGGCCAAATTGTAAAACCAGCTGCATTTGATCTCAGCTGTTTCTATTGGACCTGATCATTAACCTCCTGGAGAAACAGCTATGCCAAACTGGATTGATCATCAGACACATCCTAAGCTGTGACCAGCCATCATCAATTAAAGACTCTGCTAGAACCTTCCAGATAGGTAAACTTACAGTAAACCTTTATAAGCCCCTACCCAACCTCACCTGGATGGGACACAATTTAGCTGCTTGCTCATTACAATTCCCAAGACCCCAGTTAAAACATCTTCTCTTTTGTTTGCGGCTGTGCAGTGTTGGTTTTCTTATTAGTTAACACTCCTCAGGTGTACTCTCGCTGTATAAGAGTAGAAGCTTCCTTGCCAGGCACTAGGTTTTGTGCTTTCCCTGCATTTTTGGATGCCATCCTCTCCACAACCCCATGAAAGTACCACCATGATCTCATTCACAGACAAGGAAGTAGAAATGTAAAGATTTCAGCAATTTGCCCGAGATCACACAGCAGCTAAGTGGGAGACAAAGACTGAAACACATCAGTTGATTTCACAGGTAGTGCTCTTGTCTGCACCATCATCTTCTCCCCGAGCCTCAGTTTCTTTGTTTGTAAAGTGGGTATGATTGTAATACACACCTCATAGGTTTATCGCAAGAGTTACAGAAAGCATTGCAACGGGGAGTGCCTTTCAAATTGCTATACAAATGCCAGTTGTTGTCATTGTCAGACAAAACTAAACAGCAAGAATAACAGAAGAGAGTGACTTCTGCACTTCTGATAAAGGCTTGTGAAGATAGCCAGGTGAGGCTGACGAGCTCTTCATTCCATCTCACCTGTGCCACTTAGTCAGCTATAGGGAGCTGAGAGCCGGCCCTCCTACCCAGCCCAACGTGCTGGGAAAATCACATTCACGTGAGAAGCTGAGACATGCTAATCAATCATTTGTGCCAAAAGGAGCAGGTGAGCTTCTCTTACCTGGCCTAAGATCACAGCTAATCCATGTACCCATCACCCTACACCTCATTATGGTCGAGATGCATTCCTGCATCTTCCCTTCCATCCAAGTTTTGGAAAGCTTACTCATGATTTCCCGGTGCTCTTCCCCTTTTAAGGCATGGTCAAAGGCCTGCAAATGACAACAACTCTGTACTCCAAAAAGTGCTTTTAACCCCACTGATTCTTTCAATCTTCACAACAGCCCAGTGAGGTGGATATGATTATCCACACCTATTTTACAGATGAACAGATTGAGGTCAGAGGAGCTAAGCAACCTGCCCAAGAGGGAAGAGGGAAGCAGAGGAGAAGCAGAGGAGCTTGAGCACTCCACACGTGCTTTTATGCTCAGCTCCTAACACCCAAGAGTGGGCAGAGGCATGCTGTGTGTCACCACCCTGGGGCGGGTGCTCAGTCTAGCCTCGGTGGGAAGCAAGGAAAGGTAGTGAGTGTCCCACAAGAACGTCAGCCACCACGAGGACCCCTGGGAATACTCCATCTAGTGAGAGGAAGAACAGAGAGCACATGCATGGACCAGAACGACTTTGTTGTCAGCCCACAGATAAGGGCAATTGGCTGAACAGGGGATCAAATCTGCCAGGATGTGATGGAGACGGAAAGATAGGAGGAGGGGAGCAAATGACATGCCACTCAGACTCTATGCTCCCAGGGCTGATGCACGGGCTCATCAGTGCAATGTTTGCAGCCTGTGTATCCATTCCTAAGCTCCCTCCCACTAACACTCAGGGCTCAAAGAAAAGGGTCTCACTCTTGGGCTCACCTTCTTCCCTACTGAAAGGTGTGGGGAGAGGGGGAAATTTAAACTGGAACAAAGGATCCAGGGCAAGGATGTGTGGGCACTCCTCATGGGCCACACTGGAACAAGCCAGCCCGAGGCTATTTTGATCCTGGGGCATCAGATGGTCCCGTTGTTTGTTGGGGTTCCATGACACCCTTCAGGAAGTCCTCCTGGGTGGTGGATCCCTCCAGTGTGGCCACACTGGTATCCTTGCCCTGTGGCTCTCATCCCCTTCCTCTCACTACCTTAATGCCTCAGTCTAATCCAACCACAGCTTCCCAAGCAGATCTCATTTACCACGAGACCCCCCTTTTCTCACACACACATGCACACACACACTCTCTCCTGTTTGGCAGGGAGAATGCATGGTTTGCTACCTCCAAAGGAAACCTCTCTTCCCAATCTCTCAAATTCTGTACTTCAATCTTTTAAACTCTTGAGGTAGATGAGGAGTTAATGGTGGCAAAATTAGTTTCCAGCCATCTCTCCGCAAGTCTTGCACAGATGATTTAGATTCAGCATCTCTCTTTGAAATGAGGGGATGTTTTTGCACTCATTGTTTTGTTTCCCATCTGTGGGGCTGCGGAAAGAATCCCATTTTAGCATCCTGTGACAGGAGCACAGGCAGATAGGCATATATAGGCATACAGGCATATTACCCTCCTCACCAGTGTTTATCTTGGGCCTCAAGCTTGCTCTGTCTTCTTCCCATTCAGTGTAACTAGATTTCTGTCATATACCCCAGCTCCCTGACCCACAGGTTTCCTAATAGAAGGCTCAGTTGACTAGTGGTGTATGGTTAAGTTTTAAAAAGCCTGGACCAGGAACCAGGCAGCCTTGCTGTCAGTCTGACTGTGCTACTAAAGGGCCGTAGGACCCTGAGCGAGTCAGTTTCTCTCTGTGGGCTTATGTTTCTCCTCTCTAAAATAGAGAGATTGAACTTGATGGTCTTTCCAGTTCTGGGATGCTGAGGTGGCCTGGGGGGTTGTGCAAGCCAGAGCAGGACAGTTCAAGGACAGAGATGACGCCAGAATCCCTTTGGGCAGTGCCTGACATTTCCACTTCCATCAATAGGTTGATTTGTTTCAGGTGACAAGATTGTCACAGGATCTGTCTCCTGCCTTAGGAACACGTACTCCCCCAGTTCAGGATAGAAACAAAACAAAAGGGCAGGCTCCTGGGCCTGGGGGGCACCAGGGTGACCTCATGTTTAAGGAAGCTGTATGTCAGGAATCATCTTGTCCCACGATCCAAAATAGGCAGCAAATGGACAGGTTTCCAGGCTCCCCCTCCGCAAAAGATAAAAATACCATGGGTTCGGGGATGTTCTCAGTCATAAATCAATCAGCTAAGACTATTTCTGTCCTTATCCCTTGCCCAGAGTTCCTCCTACAACCTCTGTCCTGCCCTCCTGTCCCAGCCTCCCAGCCACCTAGCTCTGGAGTAAGGGGAGTCTCATCAGCTGCCCTGATGACAACTCAGTACCCTGGCCGTGCCAGCAAGAGAATCCTCAGCCTGCCTATAAATGAAACGGTGGGCATCCTGGTGCCTCCATCCACCTCCGTGAGCCTGGCTAGCAACTGTCCACTCTGACAGGCAGGTGACTCCCAATACACACCAGGTTTCCTGGCCTGTAAGGGAGCTGCCCGCTGGTTGTGGTGGGCACTTAGGAGTAAATGTCTCTGAGTAAGCCCTCAGCATGGTCAGGGGTAGGGCTTCTCCTTCATGTGGTTATAGGGGTTAAAGGACCTACCTCGTAAAACCACTGGGAGGATTAAATGAGACCCTGTAGGTAAAGCATTCACCTTGTCACCTGGCAAGTTGCAGATACTCTGAAAATAAGAATTGCCTTCCCCTTGCTAGCCATTCATCTGGAGCTCAGACTCCCACGGCTGACCCATGTCTTTGGAGAGCTCCTTTGAGACTTTTGTCATTCTAAAACCCTAAGTCAGCTTTGAATTCAGCTCTTGGGGAAGCCTCCGAGGACATCTGGTCTATGCAGAGATCCTACCTAAATCAGTACCTAATGGTTAACAAATGCGATGCTGCTGGGCCACCTGGACAATATTGCCCCTTGTTCAATCTTCTACTGCCCTCTGCAGGTTCCAGGCGATACCGCAGGCAGTGTTGACTGCATTCCTTGTGCAACACCAAAAAAGACCAAGACATCTCACTGTATAGACTGGAAGCACTTTAAGACAACAGGGCAAGGCAAGGTGTCTCAGACGGACGATGCCTCTGAATAGCACAGTGATTTCTAGTTCACAAAGCACTTTCTTGTTGGATTTTCATGACCACTCTACTCTCACCTTGGTACCTAAGCACACAAGGGAATTCTGTGTCACTGCTTCACCCCAAGAGCTTCACTAAAAACAAGTGACAGGTCTCAGGCCCTGTCCCAGAACATCCCAGAAAATCATCTGAAATGGACCTGGATCTCAGTGTAAACACTCGTTTAGTTTTTAAAGCTCTTCTACCTTGACCATGCTGTACAACAGCCAGCATATCTAGGATACTCTGGAGAGGGATTTTTGTAAGAAAGTGTGTGTGTGTGTGTGTGTGTGTGTTTTCAAGAAATGAAGGCTGGCCAAGATACTGAAGATACTAGCATTTGGTGTGATGATAATTAATAAGCATTTTTCACACGCCAACCAGCTGACAGTTTCATTTATTAGTGACATCAAGCACCAGTCCAACTATATCATTTCCACTATCCTCCCTCCATGGCCAGAACCACAGATTCTCTCTGGCAGAAGGTTGGATTTATACAGTGAAGGCATGTGACAGTGACACATTGTCCACCCAGCACCATGTAGGGATTAAATCACCATTTGGAGCAATAAAAGGGATGTTTGTTCTTCCCTTGTTCTCTTTACCAACCGCAGAAACTTGAGGTGATCTCAGCAGAGTTCATTAGACCCAGGTATCATATGACAGTAAGAAAACCAAGCCTTAGATAGCTGCAGATCCTTTATGTAACTGGAGTTTTCAGGTCATATATTTATAGGCTTTTAAAGCAGAAGACGTGAGACAACCCTTTACTGCAACCCTTATGTTTGCAGTAAAATGGATCACAGGAAGGGGAATTGACAGTCCAAGATCACAAAGATAGAGACAGAAGAGACAGAGCTAGGATGAGAACCCAGGCTTCTTGGCTCTTCTACCTCTGGTTGGGCTTGATTTTGATAGCAGCATTTTTATTTCTTTTTTTTTCTTCAGAGACAAGATCTTGCTCAGTCGCTCAGGCAGGAGTGCAGTGGCGCAATCATAGCTCACTGCAGCCTCAACCTCCTGAGCTCAAATGATCTCTCCACCTCAGCCTTTCAAGTAGTTGGGACTACAGGCATGCACTATCAAGACCAACTAATTAAAAAAATTTTTTTTAAAGACAGGAGCTCTCTATGTTGCCCAGGCTGGTCTCAAACTGCTGGGCTCAAGCAATTCTCCTGCCTTAGCCTCCCAAAGTGCTGGGATTATAGGGGTGAGCCACCATGCCAGGACTGATAGCATCATTTCTAGGTGGAAATTACTTTGGCTTCAAATGTAAAGATTAAACATAATCTTTTTTGTAAATACTCAAAGAGTATTTGGAATACAAATATTCTCTTCAAAGAGGAAGGGAAAGAAATCTAGAACATTGTACGTGCTCAATAATTGAGTTGGTTGGATTTTTGTATTATAGAGTAATCTTGCTTTATGCAGCTTCACAAAATCAGATCCAATTAACCTTGAATTTGTTTCATTCTTTATTCTTTCCAATGATTCAAAGATGGTTAGAGGATTTAACCTTACCCCACTGCCTCATTGCAAAATTTGAGTATAGATTCAAGGTTATGCTTTGCTGTTCATTGGTTTGAAGGCCAGGCTTTCACAGGAAGGCACACGATTTAAAGTAACTTCGGTTTAAGCTTCTAGAGGTTTGTGGGAATCCTCTTCAAAGGACAGACACCATCAGAACTTGAGGTTATACAGGCTGTCCAGTAAGTGGGGAATAGCACAAACCCTTCCCGACCCTATTCCAGATACATGATTAAAACAGACAGAAAATGATCCTAATTGCATATTCACCATTTAGGCATAACAGTTTTGAATTTGCTTATCATTGTGTTTACAAATTACATTTTTGATCAAAATCTTCCATTGCATTCACTTGTCTTCCAAATCCCATCTTGACAAATCACAGGTCTGTCATTCTGTGACTTTAATAGATCCATGTTCTGTGGTATGTTCCTCCTGCTCCATGGAAGCCCAAAGGCAGCACAAGAAGACTCTGCTGAGGACTCTCTCTTTAGACCCTCACAGACCAGGGTTTGCAGTTTTCTGGGACACCAGTGACACACTAGGAAGGAATGATAGTGTTCTCATTGCCAGGGTCTGCTGATCATGCTCCTCCCACTCTCTTGCATACCTCACCTCCCACCACTGCCAACCATCATTCCAAGGCCAAGCACCACTCTGCAGGCCTAGCTGTTGAGAATGCCTCAGGGCAGGACTCCTTAATTTCCTAAGCCATTCATTTATTTTCACTGAGCACTTTCCACATGGCAGGCGTTCTATTAGGTTTTGGAGATATGGTGACAAACAATACAGATGTGATCCCTTTTGAAACTCACAGTCCTTAAAAAGTTCATAGAATCAGCTGCTCATGCAAATCCATGGCAAGAATTTTTAAATCGCTGGTATGTTGTAACATAGAAACGGATCTTTGTTTCAGGTCTGGGGCCACAGAGAGCTTACGAAAATGACTGAGTTCTGCATCAGACTGTTGGCAAAGAGCTCGCCTTGCAAACTGTGGCAGCTTATTGGGAGCCATGCCACCCACTCCTCTCAGGGAAATGGGTTTGGGTGATTGTCAGCATTGGGAGCCATAGTGGGAAGGTTCTGGGCTGTGGGTAGGTTGCTGCACAGATGTGGGCATCTTTACTGCCTGGGAGTGCCACACGGTCTGTGTAGTTCTCACTCCATAGCTAAAGCTCTTGGTAGACCCAAGGAAGACCTGAATGGGGACCCATATGCCTCCTTCACCCACTGTGTTGAGGTCTGCGGATGGTGGATTTGTCTGCCCCTGGGGTTCCTCTGTGCCCTCCCCACTTGGGACCACATGTACCCACTTTACCTATAAATCCAAAAAGCATATCGAATTTTAAAAAGAGAAAGCCCCACCTGAGTATCAGGAAGAACCCAGTCCTGCTAACTCCACACAGGTTGCAGTTGCAAAGGCAATTAAAGCCACTGTACAGAGCCCACTTCAGCACCACTCAGAGGCTGGGCTGGTTCTGAGATCCCCAAAGCGGAAGCAACCGTCCTAGCAAAGTCTTCTTTTGTTAGGCATTGCCAACTACAAGTATCACATAGGTGCTTCTTAAAGTGATTCCAATGACTACGGAATTCTTCTACTACTTTCTGCCACATACACCTCCAAGGCAGTAATCAATCACCCTATAATGGAATCATCTGGTTTCCCAAGGTTGCAAAGTCCTCAAGGACATCTATGTGTCCCCAGTATCAGAATGGCACATGATCATCACAGGACAAATGTGGTTGATCTAATTAATTATTTCCTCTTTTTCCCTCCATCCCCCCAATATTCATACAGTGTCCTTAACATAAATTAAAAAAAAAAATGCTAGCGACTGACTCATACTAAAGATTAGGCTCTCTGGAGTTTCATCCATCATCCTTATCTAGATGGAAAATAATAAAATCTGTGAGTTATGACTGTGCACCACACATTCCTCCCATCTCTAAGGAGGCCCAGCTACAAGCTATAGCTTTAAGGAGGTTTCTCATTATTCTCTTGCAAGTTCGAGTGTGTGCTTCATACCATGCACAATGAAGGGTGGCCATTGATGCAAGGCTGCCCGGTTAGGAGAGAGCCCAACACCTCTCCTCTGTGCAGAACCTTCCCTGCAGTTTGCCAGCCTATCCCTGGCCTCCCCTGGACTGAGTGGATGCTTGAGGGGCATCATACCAGGGTGGTGAACTTGTCCACGCAGGCATTGCGGATCTTCTCCGGGGTGGCAGGGCTGTCTAGCCGGAAGAGTTCCTTCACGTTATTACCTGTGTGCTGAGCTCGAGCTGCACGGATGGCATCTTTGATGGCAAAGAAGATAGAAGCAGCCAGGAAGAGGGGCGGCTCTCCAACAGCCTGAACACAGACAGGGCACAGGGCAGGGGCTCAGGCAGGTGGTCCTGCCTCCACATCATCAAGTGGACCTAGGAGGCCAGGCAGCAAACTCTGCACGAGGAGGGCTGGTGGCACCAGGAAAGCACTGATGGGAGCCACACCAAATACAGCAGGAAGGCACAGTCAGAAATGATCAGGGGCTAAGAACAATCAAGCTAGTACATGACTGGACCGCATGGACATATTTCTTTGAACACTCATGTAATTTTCTCTGATGACATCATGCACATATAATGTACCATTTAAAGTTATACTCGGTAATTGTATTTTACAGACCACAAAATCTGACGTGAGTTTTAACCTTTTCCTCAGTCACTAGCCGAGGGGAAGAGTCTACCTGCAACTCTGACACCAACATTTACAGGCACCATAGTCATATTACAGCATCCGCAGGAATTATAGGCATAAGAACAAACAGGAATTAAAACATTTTCTAGCATAGGTTGGTTTTTCTCCCCCTCAAAGTATAGATCAGAGACCACCTATATCAGAATCACTAAAGATACTTGCTGAAAATGCATGTTCCAGGGCCCTAAGCCACACCTATTGGAGCAAAATTTCTAGGCGTGGGCCCCAGAAAGGCACATTTTTATCATGGGCCTCAGTAATTCCCAAGCATGGTAAAGTATGACAGTCAATGGCAAGGGTCACAATATGTCCCAGCTTCCCCACCCACTATGGTAAAGTAAACCACGAGATGAGCAAATGGATGTTTCTTTGGTTACCAAGGATTAGTTGCCTTCCTTCTTCAAACTAGGATTATATGCATCAGCTAAATCAATTTTCAACCATTTTTTCATACTTACTGCAGATAAGGAAGAAATAGAAGACACAATCCTCCAGGCATCTGACCAAGTCTTTTTTTTTTTTTTTTTTTTTTTTTTTGAGACAGAGTCTCGCTCTGTCGCCCAGGCTGGGGTGCAATGGTCCAGTCACGGCTCACTGCAGCCTCTGCCTCCCAGGTTCAAAAGATTCTCGTGCCTAAGCCTCCTGAGTAGCTGGGATTACAGGCATGTCCCACCATGCCCAGCTAATTTTTTTTATTTTTAGTAGAGATGGGGTTTTGCCATGTTGCCCAGGCTGGTCTCGAACTTCTGAGCTCAGGCAATCCACCCACCTAGGCCTCCCAAAGTGCTAGGATTACAGGCATGAGCCACCGCACCCAGCCTGATCAAGTCTTAAGGTCGAGTATTGGCAACTGAAGGAGGTAAAAGGGTGTGTACAAAGGTGCTATCCCATTGGCAGTGAATGTGCTGATTGTCATTGGACCATACTAATGCTGTACCTGTAAAATCATCTCTTAGGATCAAGCACCAGTGACGTACGCCTGAGATATGGGTGTGGGCCAGGATTTAAATGAGAAGATTTGATGAAGGAATCCCTCTAAATTCACCCAAAGAAGTGGGCTTCAGACCATACTAAGGTGCTCTCCTCAACCCAATTTAACTGGTTCTCAAGCAGGACTGCCCAACTATCCCACTGCCCCTACCAAGGTCAGTGTCAAACCATCTTCCCTCCTCAAGATATGCCCTTTGAAGTCCCACCAGGTGGGTCACTGAGGCCTCTCATCACCCGCTGGGGCCTCCCCCAGGGCAGATCAGAAGAGACAGCACAGAGCCAGAGCAATGGTACCTTCGATGCATAGATGGCCTTCTTGTTGGGGCAGTCGCGGAGCAGGGACACCCTGAACTCAATGGGGATGCTGCCAAATGCCGGGATCTTGTAGGTGCTAGGGCCACGGGTGTGCAGGCTCCCCTCGGGGGAATAGTGT